>NC_000012.12:72005582-72157097 GCF_000001405.40 Homo sapiens | reverse complement strand
TGATCCTGCCATTTCCTCTGCCCAGAACAATCATCCCCCAGATATTGGCTTGGCTCACTTGTTCACTGCTTGGAAATATCAGTTACGTGTCATCTCTTAACAGGCCTTCCATCACCCTAGCAATAACAGCATGTGTGCATATCCTGCTACCCTGCTTTAATTTTCACATGCATTGCTACCAAACATTCTATTATGTGATGCTAGAATGTCAGCTTTAAAAGGGCAAGGACTTCTGTTTGGGGAATTACTGAATCCTAGCATTCCCTATACTTGGGGCCATAAAATATGGTTGGTATGAGACAATTGCTTCATAAATATTTGATGAAAGACAAATAAATGTTTCCCTTGTTTCTTCACCTAAAATCAGCACCTCCAATACACTTAAATTCCTCAAATAGCATTTAGAACTTTGAAAAAATTTCTACTCAGAATAAACTCTAACTCCTAATCACAGCCTAGGAGGCACAAAAAGATCAACCTCTGCCTACTTCTGCAATCTTTTTTCTTCCTATTTTTCTAACACTCTCTCTATTACTCAATCTATTTAAGACTCATGGGGTGGAGCCAAGATGGCCGCATAGGAACAGATCCAGTCTACAGCTCCCAGCATGAGTGACGCAGAAGACGGGTGATTTCTGCATTTCCAGCTGAGGTACCAGGTTCATCTCACTGGGGAATGTCGGACAGTGGGTGTAGGACAGTGGGTGCAGTGCACCGAGCATGAGCCGAAGCAGGGCGAGGCATCACCTCATCCGGGAAGCGCAAGGGGTCAGGGAATTCCCTTTCCTAGTCAAAGAAAGGGGTGACAGATGTCACCTGGAAAATTGGGTCACTCCCACCCTAATACTGTGCTTTTCCAATGATCTTAGCAAACGGCACACCAGGAGATTGTATCCCATGCCTAGCTCAGAGGGTCCTACGCCCATGGAGCCTTGCTTATTGCTAGCACAGCAGTCTGAGATCAAACTGGAAGGTGGCAGCAAGGCTGGGGGAGGGGCGCCCGCCACTGCCGAGGCTTGAGTAGGTAAACAAAGCAGCCTGGAAGCTCGAACTGGGTGGAGCCCACTGCAGCTCAAGGAGGCCTGCCTGCCTCTGTAGAATCCACCTCTGGGGGCAGGGCATAGCCAAACAAAAGGCAACAGAAAACTCTGCAGACTTAAATGTGTCTGTCTGACAGCTTTTAAGAGAGTAGTGGTTCTCCCAGCACGCAGCTAGAGATTTGAGAACGGACAGAAGGGACCCTCCTCAAGTGGGTCCCTGACCCCAGAGTAGCCTAACTGGGAGGCACCCCCCAGTAGGGGCAGACTGACACCTCACATGGCCAGGTACTCCTCTGAGACAAAACTTCCAGAGGAACGATCAGGCAGCAACGTTTGCTGTTCACCAATATCCATTGTTTTGCAGCCTCTGCTGCTGATACCCAGGCAAACGGGGTCTGGAGTGGACTTCCAGCAAACTCCAATACACCTGCAGCTGAGGGTCCTGACTGTTAGAAAGAAAACTAACAAACAGAAAGGACATCCACACCAAAACCCCATTTGTACATCACCATCATCAAAGACCAAAGGTAGATAAAACCACAAAGATGGGGAAAAAACAGAGCAGAAAAACCGGAAACTCTAAAAATCAGAGCGCCTCTCCTCCTCCAAAGGAACACAGCTCCTCATCAGCAACAGAACAAAGCAGGATGGAGAATGACTGATGAGTTGAGAGAAGAAGGCTTCAGACGATCAAACTACTCTGAGCTAAAGAAGGAAGTTCGAACCCATGGCAAAGAAGTTAAAAACCTTGAAAAAAAATTAGATGAATGGCTAACTAGAATAACCAATGCAGAGAGGTCCTTAAAGGACCTGATGGAGCTGAAAACCAAGGCACAAGAACTACATGATGAATGCACAAGCCTCAGTAGCCAATTCAATCAACTGGAAGAAAGGGTATCAGTGATGGAAGATCAAATGAATGAAATGAAGTGAGAAGAGAAGTTTAGAGAAAAAAGAATAAAAAGAAATGAACAAAACCTCCAAGAAATATGGGACTATGTGAAAAGACCAAATCTACGTCTGATTGGTGTACCTGAAAGTGACGGGGAGAATGGAACCAAGTTAGAAAACACTCTTCAGGATATTATCCAGGAGAACTTCCCCAATCTAGCAAGGCAGGCCAATATTCAAATTCAAGAAGTACAGAGAATGCCACAAAGATACTCCTAGAGAAGAGCAACTCCAAGACACATAATTGTCAGATTCACCAAAGTTGAAATGAAGGAAAAAATGTTAAGGGCAGCCAGAGAGAAAGGCTGGGTTACCCACAAGGGGAAGCCCATCAGACTAACAGCTGATCTCTCAGAAGAAACTCTACAAGCCAGAAGAGAGTGGGGGCCAATATTCAACATTCTTAAAGAAAAGAATTTTCAACCCAGAATTTCATATCCAGCCAAACTAAGCTTCAAAAGTAAAGGAGAAACAAAATACTTTACAGACAAGCAAATGCTGAGACATTTTGTCACCACCAGGCCTGCCCTAAAAGAGCTCCTGAAGGAAGCACTAAACATGGAAAGGAAAACCAGTATCAGCCACTGCAAAAACATGCCAAATTGTAAAGACCATCGAGGCTAGGAAGAAACTGCATCAACTAACGAGCAAAATAGCCAGCTAAAATCATAATGACGGGATCAAATTCACACATAACAATATTAACTTTAAATGTAAATGGGTTAAATGCTCCAATTAATAGACACAGACTGGCAAATTGGATAGAGTCAAGACCCATCAGTGTGCTGTATTCAGGAAACCCATCTCATGTGCAGAGACACACATAGGCTCAAAATAAAGGGATGGAGGAAGATCTACCAAGCAAATGGAAAACAAAAAAAGGCAGGGGTTGCAATCCTAGTCTCTGATAAAACAGACTTTAAACCAACAAAGATCAAAAGAGACAAAGAAGGCCATTACATAATGGTAAAGGGATCAATTCAACAAGAAGAGCTAACTATCCTAAATATATATGCATCCAATATAGGAGCACCCAGATTCATAAAGCAAGTCCTTAGAGACCTACAAAGAGACTTAGACTCCAACACAATAATAATGGGAGACTTTAACACCCCACTGTCAACATTAGACAGATCAATGAGACAGAAAGTTAACAAGGATATCCAGGAACTGAACTCAGCTCTGCACCAAGCGGACCTAATAGACATCTACAGAACTCTCCACCCCAAATCAACAGAATATACATTCTTTTCAGCAGCACACCACACCTATTCCAAAATTGACCACATAGTTGGAAGTAAAGCACTCCTCAGCAAATGTGAAAGAAGAGAAATTATAAAAAACTGTCTCTCAGACCACAGTGCAATCAAACTAGAACTCAGGATTAAGAAACTCACTCAAAACCGCTCAACTACACGGAAACTGAACAACCTGCTCCTGAATGACTACTGGGAACATAACAAAATGAAGGCAGAAATAAAGATGTTCTTTGAAACCAGTGAGAACAAAGACACAACATACCAGAATCTCTGGGACACATTCAAAGCAGTGTGTAGAGGGAAATTTATAGCACTAAATGTCCACAAGAGAAAGCAGGAAAGATCTAAAATTGACAACCTAACATCACAATTAAAAGAACTAGAGAAACAAGAGCAAACACATTCAAAAGCTAGCAGAAGGCAAGAAATAACTAAGATCAGAGCAGAACTGAAGGAAATAGAGACACAAAAAACCCTTCAAAAAATCATGAATCCAGGAGCTGGTTTTTTGAAAAGATCAGCAAAATTGATAGACTGCTAGCAAGACTAATAAAGAAGAAAAGAGAGAAGAATCAAATAGGCGCAATTAAAAATGATAAAGGGGAGATCACCACCAATCCCACAGAAATACAAACTACCATCAGAGAATACTATAAACACCTCTATGTAAATAAACTAGAAAATCTAGAAGAAATGGATAAGTTCCTCAACATATGCACCCTCCCAAGACTAAACCAGGAAGAAGTTGAATTTCTGAATAGACCAATAACAGGAGCTGAAATTGAGGCAATAATTAATTGCTTACCAACCAAAAAAAGTCCAGGACCAAATGGATTCACAGCCGAATTCTACCAGAGGTACAAGGAGGAGCTGGTACCATTCCTTCTGAAACTATTCCAATCAATAGAAAAAGAGGGAATCCTCCCTAACTCATTTTATGAGGCCAGCACCATTCTGATACCAAAGCCTGGCAGAGACACAACAAAAAAAGAGAATTTTAGACCAATATCCCTGATGAACATTGATGCAAAAATCCTCAATAAAATACTGGCAAACTGAATCCAGCAGCACATCAAAAAGCTTATCCACCATGATCAAGTGGGCTTCATCCCTGGGATGCAAGGCTGGTTCAACATATGCAAATCAATAAACGTAATCCAGCGTATAAACAGAACCAACGACAAAAAACACGTGATTATCTCAATAGATGCAGAAAAGGCCTTTGACAAATTTCAACAACCTTCATGCTAAAAACTCTCAATAAATTAGGTATTGATGGGACGTATCTCAAAATAATAAGAGCTATCTATGACAAATCCACAGCCAATATCATACTGAATGGACAAAAACTGGAAGTATTCCCTTTGAAAACTGGCACAAGACAGGGATGCCCTCTTTCACCACTCCTATTCAACATAGTGTTGGAAGTTCTGGCCAGGGCAATGAGGCAGGAGAAGGAAATAAAGGGTATTCAATTAGGAAAAGAGGAAGTCAAATTGTCCCTGTTTGCAGATGACATGATTGTATATCTAGAAAACCCCATCGTCTCAGCCCGAAATCTCCTTAAGCTGATAAGCAACTTCAGCAAAGTCTCAGGATACAAAATCAATGTACAAAAATCACAAGCATTCTTATACACCAATAACAGACAAACAGAGAGCCAAATCATGAGTGAACTCCCATTCACAATTGCTTCAAAGAGAATAAAATACCTAGGAATCCAACTTACAAGGGATGTGAAGGACCTTTTCAAGGAGAACTACAAATCACTGCTCAATGAAATAAAAGAGGATACAAACAAATGGAAGAACATTCCATGCTCATGGGTAGGAAGAATCAATATTGTGAAAATGGCCATACTGCCCAAGGTAATTTACAGATTCAATGCCATCCCCATCAAGCTACCAATGACTTTCTTCACAGAATTGGAAAAAACTACTTTAAAGTTCATATGGAACCAAAAAAGAGCCTGCATTGCCAAGTCAATCCTAAGCCCAAAGAACAAAGCTGGAGGCATCATGCTACCTGACTTCAAACTATACTACAAGGCTACAGTAACCAAAACAGCATGGTACTGGTACCAAAACAGAGATATAGACCAATGGAACAGAACAGAGCCCTCAGAAATAATGCCACATGTCTACAACTATCTGATCTTTGACAAACCTGAGAAAAACAAGCAATGGGGAAAGGATTCCCTATTTAATAAATGGTGCTGGGAAAACTGGCTAGCCATATGTAGAAAGCTGAAACTGGATCCCTTCCTTACACCTTATACAAAAATTAATTCAAGATGGATTAAAGACTTAAATGTTAGACCTAAAACCATAAAAACCCTAGAAGAAAACCTAGGCAATACCATTCAGGACATAGGCATGGGCAAGGACTTCATATCTAAAACACCAAAAGCAATGGCAACAGAAGCCAAAATTGACAAATGGGATCTAATTAAACTAAAGAGCTTCTGCACAGCAAAAGAAACTACCATCAGCGTGAACAGGCAACCTACAGAATGGGAGAAAATTTTTGCAATCTACTCATCTGACAAAGGGCTAATATCCAGAATCTACAATGCACTCAAACAAATTTACAAGAAAAAAACAACTCCATCAAAAAGTGGGTGAAGGATATGAACAGACACTTCTCAAAAGAAGACATTTATGCACCCAACAGACACATGAAAAAATGCTCACCATCACTGGCCATCAGAGAAATGCAAATCAAAACCACAATGAGATACCATCTCACACCAGTTAGAATGGTGATCATTAAGAAGTCAGGAAACAACAGGTGCTGGAGATGATGTGGAGAAATAGGAACACTTTTACACTGTTGGTGGGACTGTAAACTAGTTCAACCATTGTGGAAGTCGGTGTGGCGATTCCTCAGGGATCTAGATCTAGAAATACCATTTGACCCAGCCATCCCATTACTGGGTATATACCCAAAAGATTATAAAACATGCTGCTATAAAGACACATGCACGTGTATGTTTATTGCGGCACTATTCACAATAGCAAAGACTTGGAAACAACCCAAATGTCCAACAATGATAGACTGGATTAAGAAAATGTGGCACATATACACCATGGAATACTATGCAGCCATAAAAAATGATGAGTTCATGTCCTTTGTAGGGACATGGATGAAGCTGGAGACCATCATTCTCAGCAAACTATTGCAAGGACAAAAAACCAAACACCGCATGTTCTCATTCATAGGTGGGAATTGAACAATGAGAACACATGGACACAGAAAGGGGAACATCAAACACCAGAGCCTGTTGTCGGGTGGGGGGTGGGGGGAGGGATAGCATTAGGAGATATACCTAATGTTAAATGACGAGTTAATGGGTGCAGCACACCAACATGGCACATGTATACATATATAACTAACCTGCACGTAGTGCACATGTACCCTAAAACTTAAAGTAAAATTAAAAAAAAAAAAAGACTCACTACCCATACTTTTGTTCTTGAAAGATTCCCAGGTCATCCCAAATCAGTGCTGGGACAATTGCCTAGAAAATTCTCTCTTACCAGCTCCTTCTGTTCAGGTTTCTGCTAAAATCCCTTTTCCTTAGGAAGGCCTTTTTTGACCACACTAGTTAATGTACTTCTCCCTGTCACTCAGTTACTATTATATTTGCCTATCTTATATTCTTCAACCACACAATACTCTTTGTAATTATCTTGATTACTTATTTGTTCCACTTCCCTTCTAGTATTTAAGATCCATAAAAGCTGAGGTCTTCAATGTCTTATTCACTACTACCTCACCAGCACCTAGAATAATGTCTGGCACATAGAAAACACCCATTAAAAATTTATTGCATTAATTAGTGGTACATATATGTTGTGCCTTTGAACCTGTATTATTTATAAAGGCTCAAAACTGGAAATAATTTAAAATCCATTAATGAAGAATCAAAGTACTTATGGAGTATCCATATAGTGGAACTCTTTGCAACCATGAATAATTATAATATAAAGCTATATTTATTCATATAGAATAATGAGCACAATATTTTAATGAATGAAAAATGATTATGTATTTCTTTTCACCCAATTTTAGTAAATATGCTTGTGTTTGGGATGTTGGATAAGATATTTACCAAAATATTAGCAATTGCTCTCTTTTATAGGACTTCACATGCTATTTACCTTCTTTAAATTTTTGTGTAGTTTGGTTTTATTTAGTTGTTTACAATAAACATGTATTATTAATTTAGCTATTTTTATTCTGAAGGGAAAAAAAAAAGAATGAGTGTTCTTTTCTGTAAATATACAACACAACTCTAATCTTGCTTTGAAACAACATGCAAATGCCAAGCTGGGTGACTTAGATTTTTAAAAATAGAGAAACTAGTGAAATTTTTTAAAACATATACCATTTTCTATTTGAAACTATATTGGCTTCATAATTAAGCAATACCAGATGGCTCATGTACAGTGGCTTATTCCTAATTCGTATTGACTGAAGAATTGAATAGAACATTTCATAACAATAAATTCTTCCTTTTTCTCTCAATCTTGGTATAAGAAGGAATGGACTATGAGGACTTATAACCAATTCTGAGTTTTCTTACTTAGTACGCATCACATACCTTACCTTACATAAGGTACCTAGTGAACTCCAAATTACAGTTTGGAGAAAATAATAGTTATTGGACTCCTCGCAGTCAGGTCTATAGTCTAATCTAAACTCAAAGAACCCTGTTTGTTTTGCAATTTTCAAGCCAGAAAAAAAAAATCATGTTAGAATTTGCCAAAAAGAAGGCACAAGGTAATCAAAGACTGCTTCTACTCAAACATTCAATGAACCATGTAATCACAGAAGCATTAAAAAAAATCTCAGGAAATTTGAGTGAAGCCATTCTTGTGAAAAGTCGTTTGAGCATACACACTGTCCTATATGGAGCTGTCTGTTCATTGCAGCAGAGTCACAGCAATTTCTATAAATCATACTGACATACTTTGTTCTAGTCCAGCTTGCAAGATAGTCGCTTTCACAAAACAAGTTGCAGGATGTAGTCAAATTACTTTTCTGACAAACAAAACAGCAAAAAGAAAACTTGCAAGGATGAATTCATAGGAGATTGAAACGTGCTTGGAAGACCAAGAACTGAGAGATCACTGCGATTCCTAAGGGCACCATGATATGCCAAAATTGTTTTATGACACTTAACCATAATTGCAGCTAACCACACTGTTGGGGTTCTTTCCTTGGCAGGATCAGAGGCTATGAATATGCGTGTGTATTTGTATGTGTGTGTATATAAATTAATTTCCTTGTGAAGATGTGATTGCTCCACCTGTTATAGTCTGTCTACATCTTTAATTTCCATCAAGTGTTGCCAATTAGTTCACAAAACAGAAATGAGAGTAAAAATTGAGGTGCAAAATGTCTGATTTATGGATGAAATTTGTTATGCCCAGTGATTTTTTTTGCTACTTTAAATATTCTGTTATTAAATTGATTAAATAATTAAAGCTGTTACAAACATGTCAGATGGAATTTCACATCAAATTTCAACTAGTGCCTTGGAAATATCACATATTTTCTAATGCTGTTGGATTCTTTACATTCCTGGAAAGTCACTTGAGGGTCTCACCTTCATGCAAGAAACAGTTGTGGAAAAATAAAAGAGTTATCTCCTAGGAATTAGAAGTTCTGGATTTTGTTATTTATAAGCACCATGATCCTGAGCAAGCAACTCACCTCTCTGAGATCTTTTTGTCACATCTAAAATACAAATATTTGTTCTGCTCATCTCCTGGGATTCTTTAAAGTTTAAATAAGGTAAGTCATGTCATTTGATGTACAGTGTGAAAACTGCAAAGTACAAAACAAATTCATTAACATTATTGTTTAAGATAAGTCACTATACCAGGAACTAGTTTGTAGTAATCATTAGAGAGCTGTTCAGCCCAGTTGAAACCACTCATCATCTGCTGAGCGCATACCTTGGAAAGCACTTCAGGTGTTCAGAGATGACTAAAAGATTGTCTTCCTTCAACAAGTTCACACTCTAAAGGAGACTACATCATACAACCAAATCTATAAATACACATGGCAATAAGTAAGTGCCAAACAAGGAATATCAGTATAAAGGTTGGGAGATGGAAAGTAAAAGATTTACCATGACCTTCAATGATGAGAGAAGTCTTGAGCCTTGATAGAAGTTTTATTTATTGTTTTCTTTTTTAATGGCTTTTCGAGTTTGAGACTGAGGTTTTAGAGTAATATAATCATGCTCCTTTTCTATTCCAAGTTCAAAGCCAACTGATAAGTAGATGCTGTTATCAAAAAGATGCAGATTTTTAAAATCAGTTTTATTGAAGATAAGATTACATTATAGGATGCAATTTAGCCTATTACTATTATCATATTCCTTTAGGTAAACTTAGCACTCAGCTCTAGTAGATCTGCACAACTGCCGGCCTCCCCAGGGTGACAAGGCAGAATAGAACTTGTACATCTGAGGACAGTCCACAAATGAGAGGAAACCTGAAGTTGCTGAACCAAGCCTGCTTAGACCTGTTTTCAAAATTCCTTAATCAGGTAATGATAGGGACAAGAGACAGGGAAATACTGGGTAGAAGAGGGCAGTTCCCCAGCAAAGGCCCCCCACCCTCAAGCATGAATACTCGCAGCCCTAAATGAGAACAGGCATTTCTGTTTTCGTGCCCAAAAAGTTGCCTTTTGGTCCACCACACCCCCTATTTTGCCCCCATATAAACCCCGAACCCCAAGCTCCAGAGCAGACCACCACACCAGCGATGGCGGAATGATGCAGCAGAGAAAGAGAGAAGAGTGACGTCTGGATGCCGAGGGGAGTTCGGCCAGGGCCGTTGGAGAAGAGTCAGGCTGCTAGGCGGCCGGACTCCAGGGGAAAACCGCCTTCCCACCCCATCCCTTCTTCCGGCTCCGCATCCATCTCACTGAGAGCCACCTCCACCACTCAATAAAAACTTGCACTCATTCTTCCAGCCCACGTGTGATCCAATTCTTGCGGGATGCTGGGCAACAGCTCAGGAAACAGAAGGCAGTCATACCGGCCCTCTGCCCTTGCAATAAGGCAGAGGGTTCATTGAGCTGATTAACACTGAAGCCGTCTGCGGACGGCAAAGCTGAAAGAGCTTTGTAACACGGGAGTTGCAGACACCCAGCCCTAGACACTACCGTGGAGCAGGAGCACTTGCCGAGGCCTCTGCACCTGCCCGTCTGCGTGCTCCCCCTTCCTCAAGGGGTTTGAGCTGCAGAGCAACCAAACGCTTTTTCATTGACCAAATTTTCTGTGTATTTAAATCTGTTATTCACCACTCTTTTCTGACCCATTAATTTAGTTCTACCCAATCTTAAATATATTCATATCTGGAAAGATTAGCCTCTCCATGCTATTTTGTTATGCCTTGAAAAATAATTAGAAGTAAGAGATGGAAATTCAGATGGGGGAGGCAGCATAAGTAAAAATAAGAGGTGAGACTGGACATTACATACTTGGGGAAAAACGATTAGTCCAAACTAGCTAGAGAAGAGAGTTTCTGCAAGCTTATTAATATAGTCTAAGAGTGAGGAAACACGGACAAGGATGACAACTGAACACATCTCCTTGAGTATTTAAACAAGACAAAGAATTTAGTTTCTCAGTGAAGGCTAGCCACTTACAACTAATAAATGGGTATGCCTCACTCCTAAATATACACTTTCCTCAAGGAGATCACTCCTAAATACCTTTAATAGCACATGGTCCTTATTTTAGATCTTTTAAATTATTTTCTTATTATCGTGACACATTTCTAGTAGTGAGAAATGCCTAGTAGGAGATAAGAATTTTAAAATAAGATTAGCACCAGGAATATCTTTAGAGGAAATTAGGAAATTTTAAAATAGAACAAGTTTACTTTTAGGAATCTCTACTTCAACTCCCAAAACCTATGAAGGAACAAGTCTTAGTTTTAATAAAAATCATGTTTTATCATGTTTTTTAAGATATTTGGGCACTACATGCACTGGGGGAACAGCTGAGAAATTCTAGAACTGGGAGGAATTAATTATCAGGACTAGAAAACTCTAACCATACCTTTGCTACCTAAATGATCTGAAGACTGAAAGAGGTTTTCATAAAGAAAACAAAACGAAATGGGTCATACAGAAAGGATTCGGTCTTTGAAGGAGTCAGCTTTTGACCATGAAATAGAATTTGTGTCATGAAAACACAATTTTTTTAAAAGATGGTATTTTACTTTCAAGCCCTTAGTGATTAAGCCCTCATTAGAATCCAGCCAGGTACTAGCTTAGAACCATCTATGAAACTTCAAGAGACATATCCTAAGAAAATAATTCAGGATGTATATTAAAACCAAGCTACACTGGTGGCCACTGTAGCATTTTTGCAGTGTTGTGAAGAAATTAAAACTTCCAAAACAAAGAGAGGTTGAATAAACTATGGTTCTTCCTCAAGATGGAATCTAAGACATAATTTTAAATGAAACATGTTTGAATGGTAGTATGCGGATCTCTGTGGACCTTCTTCCCAGCAAAACAACCATCACTAGAGAATATTATATTTCTACAAAAAAGCAACAACAATTTAAAATCTCTGGAAATTGTCCGAAGGGCATATAGCAAATGGAGAAACACTTATTCAAGAAAATACAATAAATCTCAGTAAGAACAGCTCAGTGTGATGGAAACTCAACTTGGGGCAGGTGCAGCTGAGAAGACAGGGCTCCTTCTTTCCCAGCTCCCAAGCTAGGGTGATGGCTTCTCTGTGGAAGGGGTAGTCTGTCAGTATTTATCAAGCCCACCTTCATCCCCTAATCTGTGTTGTAGAAACTCTCTTCCAAGTAGACGTGGCAGAGAAGTCTGGGACTCCCCTCCTCCACCAGCCCCTGGCAGGATAGAAGCTCTGCTACAGGCATGAAAGGCTGAGAATACTTGGCTCCAATTACCCTATCCTTGGCCCTCCCATAAGATAGATGTTACATACCAAGAGGGGCAAGCTGAGAACACCAGGCACTACTACATATCCCCAGTGCCCACTCACAGAATAGCATTGTTATTCTGAGAGAAGTGGGCTATTGTTCCTGACTCTAGCTCCAGCAGAGTAGCATGGACATTCTTCCCACTGAGAAAGTCAGGCCATTCAGACAGAGGGCTCTATAGCTCTCTCCAAGACTCAATTTGGAACAAGGAAGATGAATTCAAGCCCAGGGACTTCATGGAAAACAATGAAAATCTTGATGGTGAGCATTTACAAGGAAGCTAGTAGCTTATGATAGCCACAAGTAACACACGAGACACCTCCCCTGCCCAGAAGTTTAAAAGAGAACCATGGAAAGAGAAAGCTAAAGCTCACCTGGAGTCAGAGAAAACCTCAAAGACTACTTGGGCAAAACGATGACTTTAATTCGATCAGACTTTGGAGCAAGTTATGCCCCTAGGACATTGTCAAAAACAATAGCACAATCAGCTAGCAATTAGTAGAAGCTAATAGCTGGGTGGGACACCAATAGAGACAAAGCAGCCAGAACGTTAAAGGATGGGTGGATTGCAGAGGAGGGGGTTCAAAGAAAGAGACAGAGTCTGGCAAAAAACACTGACCCACTGTGAGTCCTACCGTGGCCCCTAAAAAGTCAACCTCTTCTGTGGTGTCCTCCCTAGAAGCAATGAATTCCTCCTCTCCTCACTGTTTCTCTCCTGATTGAGCTATCATTCCAGAAACTCATCTTTGAGGCATGACAAGATGCCATAGGTGAACAGTTGCTAGTAAAATTAGAACCTTGAACTACTGGCACTAGGAACCTGGCCCACTCCTTAAAAGCAGTGTTCATCTTTCCAATCTATAGTTACAAAAGTGGGTGATAAACTTAAGTTTTGATAAATTCATCATCTGTAACAAAGAAGGTTCAATCTGGTAATTGAACATGGTGGCAGAAGTAAACTAGTAAAAACACTTGAAACGTATTTGGGGCATGGTGTTGGGTTTCTTATACTATATTGTCATCTGGACCCAATCCAGTAATTCAAGAAATAAGATCTAGCTCATCCCTAACCCTCTAGTTATACATACACACATCATAGCCATCACTACCATCATGACCAAGGAGAGACTAAAAAGAACCAAGCAGGATGATACCTGACTCCTGCCAAAGGGGTCAGAACAATACTCTAGCCCTATAAAAATGGCCCAATGGCTGAAAGGGAAACTGAGACAGAGGCCTACTTAGTCCGTTTAATATGGGAAATGCAGGTAAAGAATTCTCAGCATGCCAGAGACATCCTCATAATCTGCTCCTGCTACTCCAGCATTACCTCTCACCACCCTGTACCCCAAATCTAACAGACATCCTAGATCTAAGCATAATCATACTCATAATTCTCAGAAAACAGAATGCTCTCTCCCTTTTGTTTCCCTGAATGAACAAATCCCTTCTTAGAAGGCCTTTCCCTCCTTCCTCCTACTCCTCTCATCTGGCCAGTTCCTAATTGCCATTGAAACTCTATTAAAGCTTCACTTTCTCCAAAAGTCTTTCCTAACACCGTTGAAATGGGAGAGTTCCCTGATCCTTGTCACAAGATGTGTGACAGGGATGTGGTTCATTTGTTTGGTCACCCCACTGCTCAAATCCCTAGTGGGATAGGGAGCATGCAGGTCGGCAGGTGCAGAGGCCAGGATGAGTGCTTTGGGCTCTCAGCCCCACAGTAGTGTCTAGGGGTGGGTGCCTGCAACCCCAGTGCTACAAAGCTCTTTCAGCTTTGCTGTCCACAGACAGCTTGAGTGTTAATCAGCTTAGTGGACCCTCTGCCTTTTCACAAGGGCAGAGGGCCAGTGTGACAGTTTTCTGTATCCCAAGTTCTTCCCCAGCATCCCAGAAAAATCAGGTCACACACGGGCTTGAGGATGAATGCAAGGTTTTATTGAGTGGTGAGGTGGCTCTCGGTGAGATGGATGGGGAGCTGGAAAGGGGAGTGGAGTGGGAAGATGACCTTCCCCTTGAGTCTGGCCGCCCAGCAGCCGGACTCTTCCCTGACTGTCCCCTACTGAACTCCTCTTGGCGTCCAGATGTTCCTCATCTTCTCTTTGTCTCTGCCATGTCATTCTGCCATCCATCTGCTGGTCTGCTAGTCTGCTGGTCTGCTGCTGGAGCCTGGGGTTTGGGGGTTTATATGGGTGCAGGGTAGGGGCCATGGTGGGCCAAAAGGCAACTTTTTGGGCATGAAAACAGGAATGTCTGTTCTCATTTAGTGCCACGGGTACCCAGGCTTGAGGGTGAGACCTTTGCAGGGGGCCACCCTCTTCTACCCGGTATTTCCCTGTCTCCTGTTCATATCACTATTAGGGTGGAAAAGATCCAAGTTACCCCAAGTCACCCCAAGTTACCCCAAGTGTATCCATGCAGGTCTGCAGCAGCTTCAGCCCTTGCCTCCTTAGAAGAAGGTATTCAACTGAGAGGCATAAAGCCAAAAAGAGACCAAGGCACGTTCCAGAGCAGAAGTGGAGGTTTATTAAAAAGACTTTAGAATAGGAAAGAAAAAAAGGAACCCATGGAAGAGATCCAAGTGAGCACCTGAAGGTCAAAGAGAGAGAAAAGAGCCTTTAACCTTGATCCTGGGACTTTACAGGCTTACCTCTTTCCCATGACTCTTCCTTTATGGTAGGCTTCCCACATATGCAGTGTCCTTTTTACCCTTCAGAATTGAGCAGGCACGGTGTGTTTAGGAAATTGTATGCATGCCCATCTGAAGATTTCTTTTTTTTTTTTTTCTGGTGGAGCATACCCAGAAGATCATACTTTGCCATTTTTGTCTCTTAATGTGCATGCCCAGGAAATTTCTTCTCCCTGGGGCCTACCTTTAATTAACACTTTAATATTAACAGGTGTGGACCATCAGGAACTAGCCTCTCCCTGGCACCAGCTGCCAATTTATCACTCTAAAAGAGGAATGTGATAATTGCCAAACCATCACCTGTCATTTCTAGTGGGTAGGGGAAAGCCCTCTCCTGCCCCAGGCAAGCCTAACTACCTGTAACAATACCCCCACTCTAATTTGAAGGTTTATCTTACATACTCCCTTGGCACCCAGAACCTCCTTCTACTGTACTACCTACATTATAGCATGTCATGTTGTATTGATATTTATGACTGTAAACTCATTAAAGATGAGAATCATTATTTTTAGTCTTCTTATCTGAAATACTTGGCATAGTGCCAGGCATAGAGGGACTCAACAGATACGAGTGAATGAAGATTGCAGCTTCAGAGGCACAAAACTGCTATAATAAAAAGCCAAGTCATCCTAAGAGTAGAAACCATAACCACAAAAATATTTCAGAACCCCCTGGTGGTCATTCTGAGACTTTAAGAGCATTGTCTACCTTGTTCAGGACTAGCTAATGAATGGATAGAGCTAAGCCCACAGGTCACAAAAGTCTTTCTCTGTGGTTATCGGGGCAGTGAAAAACTGGGGTCTCATAGCATGAGTCCCTGGTAAACTAAGATAAAATAATGCTATCATGTGATATGTTTGCATTTTTAAAAGACCTCTTGGATAGTGCCTTAACTCAAAGGAATGATTTTGTAGTGGAATATCAGGCTTTAGAGTAGTCAGGGGGAAAAAAATAGCATTTTATTCATAGAAACTTTCCTTGAGGGCCTGCTCAAGACTCACCTCATAGGTGTGACTACCTATTTAGAGTTGCCAGATAAAATACAAGGTGCCTTATATCTTCATATAAGTAGGCCCCAAATATTAAATGGGATGTACTAATACTTTTTTAAAAATCATTTTTTGCTTCTCTGAAATCTGAATTTAACTTGGCATCCTATAATCTTATTTGGTGAAAAAAAAAATAAAGCTTTTGAAAAAGCAGAACTATTACATTATAGGAGTTTTCTGATTGTTTTCAGCTTAGCCCTTTACATCAGCAGTTACTACTCCTTCCTCACCTTCTCCCCAGATTTGTTTTAAGAATATTTATGTTCTGCTCAATGAGTTACACTATTTTTATTGGCTGTTCTGCCAAAACTCAGTTGAAATAACTGTCTCAGCATATACCTGAGAAAACCATGCACAGGGAAAATGGGCAGCAGAGAACTCCCAGACTAAGTACTAGGCCATGCCATCCAGCTCCTTAACATACTCTGCCACTCATATTATGGCTGTTCTAGTCACAATAAAAATAATTATATTCTCATTAAATAAGACTATTTCTCAAAATAGTGTTGACAAAAGAAGGCAAACTCTGTAAAATATTTGAAGAGATTTATTCTGAGCCAAACCTGAGTAATCATGGCCCATGACACAGCCCCGGGAGATCCTGAGAACATGTGTCCAAGGTGGTCAGGCTACAGCTTGGTTTTATACATTTTAGGGAGATATAAGATAACAATCAATACATATAAGATACACATTAGTTCTGTCAGGAAAAGTGAAACAACTGGAAGCGGGGGTGGGGGTGGATTCCAAGTCTTAGATGGATTCAAAGATTATCTGATTTGTAATTGATTGAAAGAGTTTATCTATAGACCTAGAGTCAGTACAAGGGAGTGTCTGAGTTGAAATAGGGGTTGTGGGGTCCAAGGTTGTTGTTATGCAGATGAAGGCTTCAGAGAGAATAGACTGTATGTATGTATTCTTCAGAGAGAATAGAATGTTTCTTGTCAGACTTTAAAAGGTGCCAGACTCTTTATTAATTCTCTCCTGGATCAGGAAAAAGACCTGGAAAGGGAAGAGAATTTTCTCCAGCATGTAGGCTTTCCCCACAAGAGACAGCTTTGCAACGCCGTTTCAAAATATGTCAAAGAAATACATTTTGAGCTAAAATACTTCGATCTCTTTCAGAGCCTGCTATCTGTCACGTTGGTATGTTATTGCCATGAAGAGTCTGTTTCGTAAGTCTTAAAGTTTTTGTTTTAATGTTAACGCTGGTCAGCTGTGCCTGAATTCCAAAGGGAGGAAGATAATAGTGAATCCTATCCAACCACTCATTCCCATCATGACCAGAACTAGTGTTTCAGGTTTACTTTAAAATGCCCTTGACCGAGAAGAGGGGTCCATTCGGTTGGTTGGGGGGCTTAGAATTTTATTTTTGATTTACAATAGGGTAATTTTATTTTCAATATGAAACTGATCCAGCAATACTTTAGAATGCACAGTGCTGTTGATCTCAATGTCAGCTTACTTGGCGCAAAGTACAGAGAATTCTATTTTTATTTTCCTGTTCAGCATCACTACCACCTGTGTCATTCCTAAGGTTGCTTCTTTGTAAAAATTAAATCTCCTGCTTTGGCTGAAGACATCTCTATTCATAATGGCTACACATGAACACCGAGGAGGATTCAATAATCCCCAACTCTCCCCTAGGGAGGTTTTCTGACTTTCTTCAGATGTATTTTACATAAAACATATACTTTGATATTTTATAACCTTATTAACATTAAAGTCATGCAAGTATGACTGTTACAATCATTCTAAAGTTTTTATCATTATAAAATTTGTCAAAACTTACATGTTGTCTGAAAAAAATTGTTAAATTTACCCTTAAAAGCCATTTTACCACATTAAAAAAAAAAATCAGTTCTGCCATTTAAAATTTGGTGGTGGATGCAGAAATATTGCCAGCATTTTCATTTGTATTTCTTCCTTTACACTCAATTCTGCTAGTTATAGTAATTTTAAATGTTCCTTTAAAAAGAACACCTCAACTTCACTGGAGAGCCAAATCCTAATATATTACCAGGTACATCAAGGATTGTTTCAAAATCACCATGGTAACCCCTAGTTAGGGAGGCTATGCTCACACAATCCATTCTCTTTCTGAAGTAAATCTACTGCTCATCATTTGGTTTTGTTGAGATACCCCTTTTTTATAGAGCAGAAATGAGTTTCAACCACTCTTGCTTCCCACAGCCAAGTTCATGTGCTGCTTTTTGCATAACTTCACCATAAAAGTGTTGAGGACACCCTCCCTCTGTTTCGGGACCATTGAAAATGGGAATGTCCACCAGGGAAGTCTGGATAGTTCACAGCAATGTCAGGGCACTGATGAGTGTCACTTCTGCCAGATGACCTACAAGCACTGGACAACGGAATATCTTCCCTGGAAAATGAGGAATATGGTCACGACTCCTCAGAGAATCTCATAATCAAATTATAATGTCATTGACCTCACCTTGCACACAATTATCTGATGTTATTAATAGCAGTAGATGGGACTGGACAGTTTTCCAAGCTGGAACTGATCCTTTCCATGAGATCCACCTGGCTCTCTTCTGGTATCAGGCCCCAAATACCTACTTCAGGTGCACACCTTGTTTCCTCTCTTTCTGCCTCCCAGATCAGAATAGCCTTGGGTTTTCCCAGTTTTACTTATTCTCAAACCTTCACTGCACATTAGAAAAATCCAGAGATTTTTATTTGTTGCTTTGTTTTGTTTTGGTTTGGCTTTGGTTTTTGGGTTTTTTTTTGAAACGGAGTCTTGCTGTCACCAGGCTAGAGTGCAATGGTGTGATCTCGACTCACTGCAACCTCCGCCTCCTAGGTTCAAGCAATTCCCCTGCCTCAGCCTCCGGAGTAGCTGGCACTACAGGTGCGTACCACCACGTGTGGCTAATTTTTTGTATTTTAGTAGAGACAGGGTTTCACCATGTTTGCCAGGATGGTCTCAGTCTCCTGACCTCATGATCCACCCACCTCGGTCTCCCAAAGTGCTGGGATTACAAGCATGAGCCACCACTCCTGGCCTGTTTTTGTTTTTAAATGCCAATGTTCAGTGACCATTCTGAGATATTCTGATTTCATTAGCCTGGGGCGAGGCCCAGGAATTGGCATTTTAATTGCTCTTCCAGGTGATTCTATGTTCACCCAAGGTTCAGAAGTACTGCCATTTTCACTTTCTTACCTATTGTTCTAGTTTAAACTATATGTCACGCTTCTTTCAAGGTCTTTCCTGTGGAATCTCAAGGTGCTTTTCTTAGCTTTTACAGAACTTGGCTCTTGAAAATAGAAAGCTTTGACTTTCAAAACTACTGTTTCTTATGTGGATTTTGAGGACCTATTTGGGAAGTCACAAAGAGAACAATGGCTGTTTCCTTCTTTTTGCCTGCCTGCTATCACAATCCTAATTCTCCTGAAGGAGAATAGTTCTAACTGATCAGGAAATGGTCACATACTCTGAAGAGCAGCAAAGAAGAGCACAAAAATTAATATTTCAAGATATGATCTCACCATATTTACTCCCTTTCTTAACTTCTCTTTCCTCAAATCTCTCTTCTGTTGAAGGCAGATTTCCTTGTTGATATTCCTCTCTGCAATCATTATGAGGTTGGAAGGGCATTAGTGGTTCTCTCTAAAGGACAAGTAAAATGGCCAGAACCACAGGGCTTATTTACAAACCTTAAGGCTCTCAGCCCCAGTCTGGTAGTACAAGGATCCCTAAAAAGAAAATGGAAACATTATTAATAGCATATAGGGGATCCTTGAAGTGCCAGACTAAGGCTGAGAACCTCAAGGTTTCAAAAATAATCTCTATGGTTCTGGTCATTTCATTCATCCTTTGAAGAGAACCTATGACTGATCTTATCTATGCAGTTGCCCACAAGGAGCATAATTAGAATGAGAATCTGTCTCACACATGGATCTATCCAAAATGCCCTGTTTCACAAGCTTGGGGTCCAAAACAGGCCACTTCTCCTAGGACAGGCAATGTAAAATGACTCTGAGTCCTCTACTTGCTACCTTGAGAATGTCTTCCTATTCTTTTCAAAGGGCACCGTTCCCAGAGAGGAAATGGAAAATCTGTTCTGTTTCACTCGCTATTGCCGGGATGTTGCCCTATGATGTCACAGTGGATAACAGGTGGTCCAGAAACCTGTTGCAGAGACCAAAGTACACACTGCTGTCACAAGCATCACAATGTTTTCTTAGGGTGCAGGAAGAGGAAGCTTCTTCCCACAAATGTTACAATCAGCTAGCAACCATGCCTGAGAACACGCTGCAGTAGGTGCGAGTTTTGCCATGGTCATATGCCATAAAAAACATATGCCATAAAAAAACAGGTGCTGGGAACTTTCTCCTCCATACAACGACTACCCTCCTAGCCATCATGAGGAGCTTGTCAGCTCCATATTCCCCTTCAATTGGATATTCCCTCTCCGTGGGATGTAGATGTTCCAACAAATTGTCTTATTGCCATCAGCAAAGTACTAAATTGCAGAACATAGAATATTAACCTCTGAAAGTTTTATCCAATCCCAAACTATGATTAACAACATTATGTGTACCCTAATTAGCCATATGCTGGGCACAGAATCCACTCAGTTCATTTTACTTCCTTCTTTTTTATTTTCACCTGCTTATAGGTCAATGGGAAAGTACAAGCATTCATTTAAATTCCCCGTTACTTTGGATATGCATGCCTCTGCTTCATATCATTTCAATGTAGCCTATTTAATTGTAAATTACGGAGTCTATGAAGAGAGCTTTATTGCATTTCCCATTTGCAGTTGTTTACACTTTGCTATCAATATTTTCTCACCAATATGCAATTCAGAGGCTGTTATGCTGACACTAATGTTAATGGGTTATGTTATGCTTCTGTTCCATTACAGTGCACGTTTTTTAAAACCATCAAGAGCCCATTTTGCAGATGTTCATATAGCCTCATAGCACAGAGTTGCTTATATTCTGCACTGAAAATAAGCCTAGACATAGTCCCTTCCCCAGCCAGCCACAGTTCAGAAATTTTAGAAATATCTAAATTAATTGAAACCTGACTCTTTCACTACATATTCATGGTCCAAATAAAAGATGAGCATTGGTAGCCCTGCTGATGCAAATGAACAGCATACTTACAACAACACCAAACCATGCAGCAAAAGTAGAAGAGCAGATGTCTCCAGGAAAAAACGAGCCCCAAGATATCCATTACTGAGCTGCCCAGTACCGTGATGTCAGTACTGATCACAAAAAAAAAAATCATAGAGAATAAATGCCACAGGGGCAGCACATCTGTCCCAGTAGCATAACTCAGCCCAAGACCTGGATGGAAGCACAACAGCTTGCTTCTAAAGGGAGAAAAATCCTCAATGAAGGCAGAACAAACTTAATCTCAGAGTTCAGCGGTAAGTCTAGAGAACACTACTCATCAATCTCATCCACACAAGGCACTTGTATTTTATCACAAGTAAATAGCCCTTGTGAGTCCTTTCAGAGACTTGAGGCAGCTAAGAATACATTTTTCCCTAGTCCTTTTATTTAAAAATAACTTGTAGTTAAAAAAAAAAAAAAACATGTTTACACACTATAGAAAAACCATGAAAGCAGGTTGTCCCAGTAGACAGTTATAGGGCTAGCAAGGCTACCAACCACTGCTGAGCTTTGTCCCATGTATTGATTGAATGTGAGACCTAAGGCAGGCTTCTTCATCTCATTCTGTCTCCATGTCACCAATGGAAAGACCAGGTCAATAAAGGTGATATCATATCTCATGGGGGTTCTGCAGAACTGGTAATGAACGGAAATGTACTTCAAACAAAAAGATTGTGTAGAAATGCTTGAAAACAACATGACAAATTAATAATAAACAGAAGAGAATTGACAAAGCTGAAGAGGCTATGGAGACCTGGTCATTCCGATTACGCCTCTGGAAAATGACACTTCAGTGCCAATTTTGAGTGACTGAGCTAGAGTCCAAAACCCCACAAGCCCTGGGCTTATTGCCAGTTTTCATCTGATTTTCTGTTGGAGCCTGATGCATTTTTACATTCATGCTCACATCCTTGTCTTTTCTTTTTTCTTTTTTTTTTAATAGTGTTTTGCATATTGTGATGACTAATTTTGAAGCTCACACATATATCCAAAACAGAGCAAACATAAAGAGTCTAGCGTCAAATGACATATTACCATTTTGTTGGCTTGAAATAATTAAGGCAGTATCACAATAGCTATTAGTCATTGCTTTCATCATTTGTTTATCTGGAATTATGCAAATTACACAATCAAATTGTCCAGCTGAAATTTGTCTCCCACTCCCCCACCTCCTCCTCTGCACCCAGCCCCCAAATTTCCCTACTTTGAAAATAGCTGCATTTAGAATTGCAGAATGTCAGTGAGCCAGATAAAGTTAACATATAGCATAAAGGGAGTTCAAAGAACTCCTACGTATTAGGAGTTTTTCCCTTTCTCTTCTTTTTAAGAGTAAATTCAGGTTGTGTGGAGCCTACAGCTTATACAATTTGAAGACCCTCTTTGAGAAAAAAAAATATACTATACAAATAAAGTTTTGCAAAAATATATATTGATGGCAATGCATTGCTAGGGCCCCTCTTAGGAACTTGGAAGGAGACCATGCAACTGAGAGGGCCTGAAGCTGAAAATAAATCTGCTTCTATCCCTAAGTAACAGGGCTGGCGTGGATTTTTCCATGTATCTCATTCTTCCTTATCCTACTTCTTATGCTCCTTTCCCGCGTTTTCTTCTGTAATCCCTTGCCTCCAACTTTTTTTTCTCCAGCCGGGGCAATAGAGCGATTCTGCAGGTATGTCAGGACACCCCTATTTGTAGGATGAAGCCTAATAGGGACCAGCCCTCTTTCTGGAAAGTGTCCAGAAATGAACTTAGGGGGAAAAAAACAGACCAAGGACAATGAAATTAGTTTCTTGATTTGAATTTTCAAACTATGGTTACTTTTCTAATCCAAATCCTGGAGAGAAGGAAACCAGAGATCAGCCTGTGCCAGTAACAATTAAGAAAACCTGTCAGTTCCATCATAAGATATTAATGTTTATTCCTAAGAAAAATTTGACCCAGGACCAGGCAAACTAATTTTAATTAGAGCAAGGAGTGAATTAACAACTTTAGCTGCCAGCACAAACAAAAGCCTAGAGAAACCAGTTTGCTCCCCTTGCAGTCAGCAACATCACCTATCTCCAGTGCTTGCTATCTCTCTGCATATAGAACAGCCACCCAGGGAAAAGCTGAGGAGGAGGTGAAAGGAGAGGCAGCTGTTGTCAGAAAAGGGATGCTGCAGCTTTCGTAGTCCCAGCAGTGTACCTAGCCCAGGAGCAACCAGGACAGTAAGTTACTTAAATATTCCATAGAGAACCCAGCACACTCATTATAGTATGGGTCAGGAGATGGGCAGCCTTTGGCATGCAACAAGGGACACCTAGTGGCCCAGTGATGGACCTCTATATCAGTCATTACCCCACAAGTTCAGCATAAATGCTGTGATGTTAATGTAATTTTAGTCCATCTTGAAATTCAACCAACAGATGGAAAAATACATAGTATACTGAAAAACTGTTGGGTGCTTAATGTTCTAGCCCAGGCATCTTATAATAGGACTTCTTCTGGTACAGTGATATTATCTTCCCCAGCACCTCCTCCCTCTCTTCCAAACCTGCTCTTCTTGTAATCTCTCCCTCTTCTACCCGACACAGCAATCTCAGCCATTGTTGATTCCTGTATTACCCACCACTTTCAAATTGTTGTCAAACTATGTCGATTTCTCCTCTGAAATACAGCTTGAATCTGTTACCCTCCATTCTACTTACACTGTTACTGCTTTCACTAGGACTCACTAATTTTGTCTGGATGATGGCATTAACTTCCTACTGGTTTCACAACTTTCAAACTCTTATTTCTTTAATTCATCTTTAAATTGTCAATAGCTATTTTCTGAAGCATGAATCTCTGTGCTTTGGTACTGTATGTATACTTACAAAAGCTTTCAATGTCTCCCCACTGGCCACAAAATAAAAATTCATATTCTTCATCATGGCACCGATTCTGCAGACTCATCTTACACCACTTCCCCTGCCTCCACCATGTCCTCTCTGCTCTGGCCACATGGAGGTCTTTTCTATCGTCCCTTCTCTTTCCATCTCCATGCCTGTGTACATGCTATCTCTGTGCTTGGAAAACTTCTCCTCATCAAGATCCAGGTCGCAGGTCCCCTTTTCTACAAAATTTCACTTGACCCACCCTCCTCCAGGCTGAATTCACATCCTTGCTCTGGGCTGTCTTGTAGTGTCTATCAGTCTGTCCTGAAAGATAATTCTCTGTGTTCATGTCTGCTTGTTAGGGCACAGGTTCTATTCATCTGCGTGTCCCCAGCACCCAGCACAGAGCTGGCATGTGAATGCATCCATAAATACTTATTGAAATAAACAATCACCTCAAACACCAAGGTTTGATGTGTGAACTTAGAGCTCAGGGTTGGGCTGATTTTATGTGACAACTGCTTTTTCAGTTGTTGGAGAGAGAGTGCAAGAGTATTGTAAGGAGGTCAGATTCACTCACATTAGAACTTCATTAATCAGAAAAGGTGGAGACTGGAAAGGGGACTGCTTGTATCTTGAGGCTGTACTCTTTTAATTTTTAATCCTATACCCAAATGTCCCTGACTTGACTTTCTGATCTGGTTCCTGTTGGGCGCATGAATGTTCTCCCAAAGCAGTGCCCCCTGAAAGAATGAGAATGCCAGTGTTTCTCAAAACTGGTATAACCCTTCAGCCTTCAAAACTCTTTTTTGGCTATGAAACCCCAGCTCTTTTTTTCAAGTGCTGTTAACTACTAGTACTACTAGAGACAGCCAGCTAGCCTCACAGTCTCCAGCAGGCAAACCAGCAGGCTTCCCACATTCCCCACTTGATTAAACAACTTAAGGTAGCGCAGGCTGCAAACTCCAAAAGTTACAACAGGATACCTTTCCAGGGTTAATTCTTATTGTTAAAATATCCTTCCCCTGAGACGCTCTTACTCCATTGTTACATCATTAAAGGGTAGGAATAAAAGGAGTTAAATTCTTTTTAAAAAATTAGTCATCTGCAAATAAGCTCTATAGTAGGTTGTATTATTGTCCTTGATCATTGATCATTCGTTACTCCATTCCCAGTGAGAGGATGACCTATCCCTGCCTATTGCCATGTGACTTGCCTTGCCTCCTTGTAGGGGGAACATGCTTCCCCTCCTTGCCTTGGCTAATGATGTATGAGCAGGAATAACAATGCCAGTTAAGAGCAGAAGCTTTAAGAGTCATTATGTTTTCACCTGTTCACTTGATTTTTATCCTTTACACAAAGAAAGTATGTCCCAGAGTGGGCTGCTCCCTGAGCTGGGATTTTAGAATGATATGGAGCAGAGCCTGGCAAATCTCAAAAGAGCTGTCGCCAGACAGCAGCCATTGAATAACCGATATTTGAGGATCATTTTGTTAACTGTAGCACAACTGAAAACAATCCAATCATTTCATGCAAATATATCAAAATAAAAATACTCTTATGAAAGCTCATGTGAATCAATAAAGGGAAAACACAAAGTTCCCAAAAGATATATGGGAAAAGGGGATAATTTTAAAAAAATCTATTCATTAACAAATTTAAAATATATAGCACTGCTATAAATTTAAAAATTAAATGAAAATAACAATATAATTTTTGGTAAACTTAAAATACATTAAGTAGAGGCCGGGCGCGGTGGCTCACACCTGTAATTCCAGCACTTTGGGAGGCCGAGGCGGGCGGATCACAAGGTCAGGAGATGGAGACCATCCTGGAGAACACGGTGAAACCCCGTCTCTACTAAAACTACAAAAAAATTAGCCGGGCGTGGTGGCGGGCGCCTGTAGTCCCAGCTACTCCGGAGGCTGAGGCAGGAAAATGGCGTGAACCCGGGAGGCGGAGCTTTCAGTGAGTCGAAATCGCGCCACTGCACTCCAGCCTGGGTGACAGAGGAAGACTCTGTCTCAAAAAAAAAAAAAAAAAAAAAAAATTACATTAAGTAGTACAAGAAATATAGAAACAATAGAAACAGACATCGTAAGGCACTGTACTTTTGGGAAAACTATTTGTCAGTATGTAGAAAAAGACCTAAATTCTTATTTTTGCCACATTGCTTTATAAAATGGTGTCTCCAGTTTACAATCCACCAGGAGTACATAAAGTTTCAAGTCTCCCTTTATCTTCACTAGCAGTTGATAATATCTAGTTTTTCCATTTTTGTTCAGTGGTATGAAGTTGTTTGCAGTCACATATTAATTTGTATTTTTCTGAGTAAGAGTGAGTTTGAGAATATTTCCTGTACTTAATAGCCATACCCTGTGCTCATTTTTCTATCGCATTTTTTGAACTTTCCTTGTTAGTTTACAAATATTACCCCCAGTATTTCATCCATTGTGGTGTTTTTCAATTGACAGAAATCTCTGATTTTGATGTAGGTAAATCCATTAATGTTGCCCCTAGTGCTTTTTTGTTTCATTTGACAAATCCTTTCACATTCCATGGTCATGAAGATATTCTCCTATATTTTCCTCGGTTTAGTTGTTCATCTCTCTGGAGACCTTATTCTAAATAATCAATCCTTTCCCCTCTTATACTGCCATTAGCCTATTTGCTGGGCCCAATACCAGTACAATACTATCTTTATAACTATGGCTTTGCATTATTTCTTCATATCTAATATGGCAATCCTGCACTTCTGTTCTTTTTCAAAATTACCTCAGCATTGAATTTATAGAGTAACCTGGGTAAGACTTTTGTTTTTCTTTTTCTCTATCACCTAGGCTGGAGGGCAGCGGTGTGATCTTGGCTCACTGCAACCTCCGCCTCCCGGGTTCAAGCAATTCTACCTCAGCCTCAGCCTCCCGAGTAGCTGGGATTACAGGCACCCACCACCGCGCCTGGCTAATTTTTGTATTTTTAGTAGAGACAGGGTTTCACCATGTTGGCCAGGCTGGTCTCAAACTCCTGACCTCATGATCCGCCCACCTCAGCCCCCTAAAGTGCTGGGATTACAGGCGTGAGCCACCGCGCCCAGTCTAAAACGTAATCTTTAACATGTTCTAACAATGACTATATCTCTCCATTTATTATTATTTCATGTCCCTTAATAGAAATTTTTAAAATATTTTCCATGAGGATCTTGTGCAACCTTTATTAGTAAATCACCTAAGTGCTTTATAGTTTTTGTTTTATTGCAAATAGTATCTATTACATTTTTAATTGGTCTTTACTGGAATAGAGAACTATTATTGGATTTTGCATTCAACAATCTTACTGACCTCTCTTGGGTTGTCTATGAAATAATTATTTTATCTGAAAATTTTGCCTATCCAATAAAAGTCTTGTGTATATATTTTTTTAACTGATTGCAGTATCCAGGACCTGTAGTGCTGTGTTGGACAGTAGCAGTGAAAGTGGTCCTGCTTCTCTCTTTCCCAACATAAAGTAAAATGTATCCAAAGTTTCTCTGTTACATACAAAGGCTTTTGGCAAAGAACTTTTGTTATCCAGAAGTTCCTCTCTAATTCTAGCTTTCTAAGAAGTATACATCCTTAGGGGAACCCTGCATAGACACATAAGAGAAGGCTTATTACAATTTACAGAGTGTTAGGAAGGTTTGGAGACAATCTAGGCATTCATCACTATGAGAATGGATATCTAATTATAGTTTAAGGCATCTACACAATAAGAAAAACTCATTTTTACCCATTTTACCACTTCCAATATTCTTTGTTTCTTTTTGTATATCCATATTTTTATATGGTAGCATTTTCCTTCCACCTGAATAAATTCTTTGAGCATTCCACTTAGTGCAGGTCTGCTGGTGATAAATTTTTTTAGCTTTCAGATGTTTCAAATCCTCTTTAATTTTTCTTTGATTTTGAAAGATATGTTTGCTGGGTATAGAGTTCCAAGTGGACTTTTTTCTTTCAGGACCTTAAAGATTTACACTGTTTTCAGAGAGAAATCTGTTTTCATCCTATTCTTTGTTCCTCTGTACACATGTGACATATTCTCTGGCTGCTTTTAATATTTCCTCTTTAACACTGGTTTTGAGCAGTTTAATTATGATGTGCCTTAGTGGTATTCTTTTTTCCTCTTTCTTTCACTAGCGTTCTTTGAAATGTTTAGGTCAGTGGGTTTATAGGGTACATTAAATTTGGAAATTTTTCAGCCACTATTTCTCCAAATGTTCCTTCTATTTCCCCCACCCCTGTTTACTTTAGAGACCCGAATTACATGTATATTAGGCTACCTGAAGTTGTCTCACAGCCAACTCTTTCTGTTTTCATTTTTGTAATCTCCCTGTTAAATCTCTGAATGTTTTCTTTTGGAGCGTTTCTACAGCAATATTGTCATATTCACTAATCTTTTCATCTGTGATATGTCATCTGCCATTAATCCCCATACAGCGGTTTTTAAAATTCCACACATTTTAGTTTTAAACCCTAAAAGTTCAACTTAGCCTTTTAAAAAATATTATTTATACCTCTACTTGAGTTTTTGAACATATGACGTAGTTTAATCATTGCTTTAATGTCCTTGTCTAAAAAAATTTAACATCTGTGTCAGTTCTTGTTAGTTTCAATTGCATGATGATGGATCATGTTGTCCTGCTTCTTTGCATGCTTGGTAATCCTGGATTAAATGCTCAGTATCCAATTTTATCTTGCTGGGTACTGGATCTTTTTGTGTTTCTATGAATGTTGTTGAGCTTTGTTCTGGAATACAGAACAAATCAGTTGGCAAATCTGGAATACAGTTTATCAGTTAAGTTATGGCTAAACACTGATCATTTCTTGCTTTTAAGATGTGTTAGGCAGGAATGGTACCACAATTATTCTAGGGCTAATTATTTCCCACTACTGAGGCAAGACCCTTCCGAGTACTCAATGTGCTGCAAATGTAGAAGTTTATCAGACTAGGTGGTAAGAACATTCTTTCTCTGGTCTCAGGTAATTCCTTCATACATATGCTCTGATCAATACTCTGCTAAATACTCAAGGGCATCCTCTGCACATTTCCAGGGTTCTGTTTTTTTTGCAGCTCACTCCTAATACTCTGTTCTGCAAACTCAGGCCACCTTAGTCCCCCCAGATTCTCAGTTCCATCTCTTGCACTCAGGGAGTCTTCCAGGACCCACTATACAATGTCTGTGTGTGTGTATATATATACACACACATATATATATACACACAATGTCTCTCTGTACATATATATACATTTCAAATTTTATTTTAGACTCAGGAGATATGTATGCAAGTTTGTTATGTACGTATATTGTGTGATGCAGGGGTTTGGAATATAAGTGATCTCATCACTCAAGTAGTGAGCATAGTACCTAATGGTTTTTCAACCCCTTGCCCCCTTCTCTCCCTTACTCCTCTAGTGTCTATTGTTGCCATCTTTATGTCCATGAGTACTCATTGCTTAGCTCCAACTTGTAAGTGAGAACATGCACATGGTTTTCTGTTTCTGTGTTAATTTGCTCAGGATAATGCCTCCAACTGAATCCATGTTGCTGCAAATGACATGATTTCATTTTTATCATGGCTGCATAATAGTCCATGGTGTGTATGTACCACATTTCTTCATCCAATCCACCATTGATGGGCACCTAGGTTGATTTTATGTCTTTGCTATTGTGAATTGTGCTGCAATGAACATATGAGTACATGTGTCTTTTTAATAGAATGATTTATTTTCTTTTGGACATATACCTAGTAATAGGATTGCTGAGCCAAATGGTTGTTCTAAGTTATTTGAGAAATCTCCAAACTGCTTTCCACAGTAGCTGAGCTAATTTACATTCCCACCAACAGTGTATAAGCATTCTCTTTTCTCTGCAGCTTTACCAGCATCTGTTATTTTTTAACGTTTTGATAATAGCCATTCTGACTGGTGTAAGTATCTCATTGTGGTTTTGATTTGCATTTCTTTGATGATTAGTGAGAAAGAACATTTTTTCATATGTTTGTTGGCTGCTTCTATGTCTTCTTTTTGAGAAGTGTTCATGTCTTTTGCCTACTTTTTAATAGGCTTATTTGGTTTTTGCTTGTTTAATTGTTTAAGTTCCTTTGATTCTGGATAATAGACCTTTGTCAGATTCATAGTTTGCAAATATTTTCTCCCATTCTGTAGGCTGCCTGTTTACTCTGTTGATCGTTTCTTTGGCTGTGCAGAAGCTCTTTAGTTTAATTAGGCCCCACTTGTCAATTTTCAGTTATGTCACAATTGCTTTTCAGGACTTGCTCATAAATTCTTTCCCAAAGCCAATGTCCAGAGTGGTGTTTCCTGGGTTTCCTTCCAGGATTCTTATAGTTTGAGGTCTTACATTTAAATCTTTAATTCATCTTAACTTTTGTATATGGTGAAAGGTACAGGTCCAGTTTCATTCTTCTGAGTAGGGCTAACCAGCTATCCCAGCACCATTTATTAAATAGGGATTCCTCTTCTCATTACTTATTTTTGTAGACTTTGTCAAAGATCAGATGGCTGTAGGTGTGTAGCTTTATTTCTGCATTCTCTATTCTGTTCCAGTGTTCCTTGTGTCTGTTTTTGGACCAGTATCACCCTATTTGGGGTACCGTAGCCTGATAGTTTGAAGTTGGATAATGTGATGCCTCTGGCTTTGTTCTTTTAGCTTAGGATTACTTTGGCTAATTGGGCTCATTTTTGGTTCCATATGAATTTTAGAATAGGGTTTTTTTTAATTTGTGAAGAATGGCATTTGTAGCTTGATAGGAATAGCATTGAATCTGTAGATTGCTTTGGGCAGTAAGGCCATTTTTAACAACACCGATCTTTTAATCCATGAGCATGGAATGTGTTTCCGTTTGCGTCATTTATGATTTCTTTCAGCAGTGTTTTGTAGTTTTCCTTGTAGAGATCTTTCACCTCCTTGGTTAGATGTATTCCCAGGTATTTTTGTGTGTGCGGCTATGCAATTATTTTTGATGATTCTTTCTCTGGTCTCAGGTAATTCCTTCACACATATGCCCTGATCAATACTCTGCTAAATACTCAAGGACACCCTCCCAGGGTTCTGTGTTTTGTTTTGTTTTGTTTTATTTTTGTGGCTCACTCCTCTCTAATACTCTGTTCTGCAAACTCAGGCCACCTTGGTCTCCCCAGATTCTCAGTTCCATCTCTTCCACTCAGGGAGTCTTCCAGGACCCTCCTGGGTTCCCCATGTTCTGTACCATGGTCTGGAAAGCTGGGCAAATCATAGGGATCACCTCATTTTTTCCCCATCTTTCAGGGATCACTTTTATATTGTATGATTTCCATTATCTGGAAAACCATTGGCTAAACTATTCTGTCTAGTTTTGTTTTGTTTGTTTCAGGCCGTTATTCCTGTTATTCTGTCTTGGCCAGAAATCATTTATGTAGATTTTAAAAGCATTAAAAAATGCTACATACTTTAAAATACTATATACTTTTAAAGAACAAAAATATGTAAGTGTATGAACAATGAATAGAAGGAATACATTAAATACATAGGAGTGTATGTTGGAGGGATAAAGGAGTATTAAAGATGGTATGTGAAGGGAACCAACAAGCAATTCAATGGGTGAAGTTCTTGCCTGGTGATGTTCACTTGTCCTAATACCAAAAATATAACCAACTCTATCATGGGCACCTGAGGTCCAGTTTTTTTAATAGGTAAGCATTCAGCTCAATTAATTAGAAAACCCATGGAAACAACCATAAGAAAGCATAAGTGAAATAAAAAATTCAAATACATATAAACAACCTGGAAGGAACCTCTTGCACCACAAAGATCCAGAACAGAAGATTTCAAAGAAACAAAACTCTCTATACAAAACGATTCCAGAGAATAGAAAAATAGAGGAGAAGCTGCCCATTTATTTTATGATGATAAAGTAATCTTAGTACCAATGCTTAAAAAAAAGCACAAGAAAATAAATTACAAGTCAATTTTATTTTTTAAATGTGTGGAAAATCTTAAATAAAATATTAACAAATTGAATCTAGCAGTGTTTTTAGGAAACAAGGATATATCATATCTGAGGAGGATTTATATTAGGAATACAATAATGACTCAACATTTAAAAACCTAAAACTTTAAAAGAAAAAAGTTCATATCTTTTGTTACAGTAACTTTACTTTTCTAAATCCATGCTAAGTAAACAATGGACAATTCAATGATTTCTCTTTTTTTAGAGACAGCATCTTGTTATGTTGCAAGAATTAACTCCTGGGCTCAAGATCCTGCCAACCTCAGCTTCACAAAAAGCTGGGACTACAGACATGTGCCACCATGCCTGCAAACATGTACAGTTCAAAAACTTTGCTCATAACGTTTATAGCACCATTAAATACAGTTGTGAAAATTAGAAGTAATCTAAATGTTCCACCGTAGCTCTGAATAAGCAAAGTATGATATAATCACTCAATTGAATATTACAGTCATATAATATTAACAAAGAATTACATAGATAATACCATAAAATGTAGATCCTTGACATTATCAGACTTTACGTTTAGATCTCACTGAGGCCTAACCTGATCACTCTATTTAATCTTGCAACTACTTCTATCCCACAAACATATACCCAGCACTCCCAATCTGTTGTTCCCAGCTCTATTTTTTCCTTTTTATGCAGAACTTATCACCTTCTAACAAATTGGATGACTTACACGTTTATGTTTACTATTTATTGTAAACAAAATCTCCTATCTTCTCCTATGACAATATGATCTGAACAAAAAAAGTTATTTGGTTTGCTGATGTATCTCAAGTACCTAGAAGAAGGCCTGGAAAACTTACATATCTTAAATGTATGAATAAATTCATTGAACATTAGGGATTTTTACCACTTGCAGGTGACCTTAATTATATGGCTTATAAGAATATGCAATTATGGTGAGGCATTAATTTGATTCAGAGGCACTACGAATTAGATGTATGGAGGCTAAAATACAGGAGGTGCCTGGTATCTGAATCTCACAGTGGTTTTGTTGTTCTGTGCACATTTTATGAAGAAAATTATATGCCTGTACAACAGCATACCACTCAGTGATAAAAAGGAACAAACCACTGATCATGTAACAATATAGATGAGTCTCAAATGTGTTATGCTGAATGAAAGAAGCCAGACCAAAAAATAGAGTATATATTGTAAGATTCCTTTTATATAAAATACCAGAAAATACACACAAAGTTATAAAATAGATCAGTGGCTGCCTGGGGAAGGATGATTGTAATGAGGCATGATAAAACCTTTGGAGATAATGGAAATGTTCAATATCTTGATTGTGACGGCAGTTTCATGGATATATATATATTTCTGTCATAACTCATCAAATTATCCATTTCAGAAGTGGATATATTTGAGAAGTTTATTGTATAAAATTATACCTTAATAAACTTGTTTTTAAAAAGGTAAAAATATATGCTCAAAAGTATTAATGAATTTAAACATTATAAAAAATCTCATTATGAATCTTATAAATTTCAAGGATGAGAAGACATTATGATAAAAAGTATATACACATCATGTTTAAAACTTTGTTACCCTAACAGGAAAAAAGGTGAGAAGAAAATATGCCAAAATGCTAACATTGGGATTCAATTATGACATTTTATGAGTTTTGTAATATTCTTCTTTCTACTTCTCTGAGTTTTTCAAATTTCTCTAATGAAAATGTATTATTTTTAATATAGAGAGAATATTTTAATAGATATTTATTACTATTGTACTCAAATACAATTTTTGACATATCTTTCACAGCTCCCTAGGATTAATCTTCCAGAAATATTCACTTCCCTGCTCAAGTAATTCCTTGGAATTTTACTTTCTGGTGCAAGAAACTACAGTGGCTTCCCATTACCCGAGATTAAATTCAGTTCATTCTAGTGTACACAGCACTACCACAACCTGTTTCCAGTAGGTTTGCTAAGTCTCCAGTTTCAAAAACAGTATTGCCTGTGTATACTATAAATTAAACTTAACTTAAAAAAATTAACCTCGGGTATGAATGTTGATTTATCTACCAGATTAACAGTTGCAACCAGGGATTAGGACTAAATATTTTTCTTTTTTAAATGTGTAACTCAAGACAGTGTGGTTTGTTGTTGTTGTTGTTGTTAGCTTTCACTTTTTTTGTCTTCATCGTATCCTTTAAGGTAAGAAACATTTAGAAGGTATGTTTTAAAAGGCTGTGTACTACGTATTTAAATATATTTTTTAAAAATATTTAGGTTTGGAGCTCCTTGTGAATAAAACGAAAAAGATATATTTGGGGCTGCCACTTCTACTCACATAGAAGACCTATTTTTTGGATTAGATCATTAATACCATGATCTCTAGAGTAATGTCTATATTAGAGCTCTCAAATATCCAGAAAAGTGACTTCCTTTTGAATGCTGCCATATAAAACTCTAAGTGTTTTGAGTTAACTACCAGTTTAAAAAAAAGTTACCTTCTTTACTAAAGCAATTAAAGTATAAATAGTATCATTATTTGAAAAAAAACTCTCTAGAAATCATTTATTGCAAAAGTCACTTTCTTGGACATGACATTCTACTACAGGAAACATTTCTTTAAAAATGGGACTTTTTTCAGCAAAGAATATCCTGCTGATTTATTAAAACTGGCTAAACAGTCTATTTTGTCACTGTCTAAAATTCTTATGTGGAGAAAAATTTTAATGTCACAACTAATCAATTAATCAATTAAACCAATAGGTTTAATAAGAGCAATGTCAGTTAGGGTTTAATCACAGGCAAGAAACATGATGAATGACACAGAATAAAGAATTGATTGTAAAGATTAAATCCTTTGCAATTGGGTAAGCTGTTGCTTCTGCCTCCAGAGCTCGGCCTGAAGTCTGCAGGGCCAGTAGCACAGAAGAAAATATGGGTTTGAAATGGGGGAGAACAAAAACAAGGGGCAACTTATGAGAACAAAATGGAATAAACAAGGACAAACTAGAACCCTCATTTCTCCCACCACCTCCCTCCTTCTTGGTGTGAGTGACATGAAGAATAGTAGATATCCTTTACCACAAAGCCAAAGACAGGATTCAGAAAAGCTGAAGGAGGGTAGAGACAGAGAAAAGGAGGGGAGGCACAGAGAGCTGGCCTGGCTATGGCTCTACACAACCCAGCTAAGACAAGCCAGTAGATCATTTGGTCCTATACAGGCATCTGGCTACTGCTACACTTCCACCTTCCAAATCTCAGTTAAATTTCTCTCATAGATCATGGCAGATCAAAATGATCAAACAGAAGCCACCACCAATTGTTCTCCCCATGGGAACACCAAACTGAACCACTATCCACATCAAAAAAAAAAAAAAAAAAAAAGGCACCTTCGTAAATACCAAAAAGCAGGTGAGCTATCACAGTACCCAGTTTAACATCATATCACTGAAAGAGGCACTGAAGAGGGTAGAAAAGATAGTTTTGAATAGCTACCATCACCTCTCCCCTATCATCTGGCAGTGGCTGCATGGCATGGAGTGAGCATCTCTGTGCTTAGAGGAAAGAGAGCACAGTGATTGCGGTACTTTGCATTGGAACTCAGTGCTGCCCTGTAACAATGGAAAGCAACACAGGGCAAAACTCAGCTAGTACCCACAGAGGAAGCAATTAGACCAACCCTGGCCAGAAAGGAATTGTCCATCACAGTAGTTGGAACCTGAGTTCCAGAAAGCGCTGCCACTATGAGCTGAAGTGCTCTGGAGACCTACATAAACCTGAAAGGTTGTCTAGGCCACAAGGACTGCAATTCCTGTACAAGTCTTGGTGCTGTACTGGAGCACCAGCAGAGCCAGTGGGAATACAAGAAATACTAAAAGGAATTCTTCAATCTGAAAGAAAAGGACATTAACGAGAAAAAAGAAATCATCTGAAGGTACAAAACTCACTGGTAATAGTAAATATACAGAAAGAAACAGAATATTACAACACTGTAATTTTGGTGTGTAAATTACTCATACCTTGAACAGAAAGACTAAAAGATGAATTGATCAAAAATTATATCTACAACTTTTCAAGGCAAAGACAATACAATAAGATATAAATAGAAACAACAAAAAGTTAAAGAGGGGTGGGTGCAGTGGCTCACACCTTTAATCCCAGCACTTTGGGAGGCTGAGTGGGGCAGACCACGAGATCAGGAGATCGAGACCATTTTGGCCAAAATGGTGAAACCCCGTCTCTACTAAAATACAAAAAAATTAGCCGGGCGTGGTGGCACACGCCTGTAGTCCCAGCTACTCAGGAGGCTGAGGCAGGGGAATTACTTGAACCCAGGAGGCGGAGGTTGCAGTGAGCCAAGATTGTGCCACTGCATTCCAGCCTGGCAACAGAGCAAGACCCCATCTCAAAAAAAAAAAAAAAAAAAAAAAGTTAAAGAGTAGGAGGATGAAGTTAAATTGTAGAATTCTTATAAGTTTTCTCTTTGCTTGCTAGTTGGTTTGTATATGTAACCAGCGTTGTTATCATTAGCTTAAAATAATGGGTTATAAGATGTTATTTGCAAGCCTCATGGTAACCTCAAACAAAAACAACATAAAACAGATAACAAAAAATAGAAAGCAAGAAATTAAAACATACCACGAGAGAAAATCACCTTAAAGGAAGGTGATCAAATTAAAGGAAGACAGGAAGGAAGGAAAGAAGAAAGAGAAGACTACAAAACAACTAGAAAACAAATTTTAAAATGGAAAGAGTAAGCCAGGCATGGTGGTTCACACCTGTAATCCCAGCACTTTGGAAGCCCGAGTCAGGCAGACCATGAGGTCAGGAGATCGAGACCACCCTGGGCAACATGGTGAAACCCCATCTCTACTAAAAATACAAAAATTAACCAGGCGTGATGGCGGGCACCTGTAATCCCAGCTACTCAGGAGGCTGAGGCAGGAGAATCACTTGAACCCAGGAGGTGGGGATTGCAGTGAGCCAAGATCACCACTGCACTCCAGCCTGGTGACAGAGCAAGACTCCGTCTCAAAAAAAAAAAAGAGAAGAGAAAGTCCTTACTTTATCAATAATAGCATTGAATGTAAATGGACTAAGCTCTCCAGTCAAAAGACATAGAGTGGCTGAATGAATAAAATAAAAGGCCCAATGATTTGTTGCCTACAAGAAACATACTTCACCTATAAAGACACACATAAACTGAAAATAAAAGGATGGAAAAACATATTCCATGACAATGGAAACCAAAAAGGAGTAGAAGTAGCTATACTTAGATAAAATAGATTTCATGACAAAACTGTCAAAAGAGACAAGCTTATTATATAATGATTAAGGAGTCAATTCAGCAAGAGGATGTAACAATTGTAAATATATATGTACCCAACAGTGGAGCACCCAGATATATAAAGCAAATATTATTAGACTTAAAGAGAGAGATAGACCCCAATACAATAATAGCTAGAAACTTCAACACTTCACTTTCTGTACTGAGCAAATTGTCCAAATAGAAAATGAAGAAACGTTGGACTTAATCGGCACTATAAAACAAACGGACCTGATAGATATTTACAAAACATATCATCCAACAGTTGCAGAATATACATTCTTCTCCTCAGCACATGGATAATTCTCAAAGATAGACCATATGTTAGGCCACAAAACAAGTTTTAAAACATTCAAAAAATTCAAATAGTATAAAGCATCTTCTATGACCAAAATGTAATAATGCTAGAAATCGATAACAAGAGGAATTTTTGGAAATAATACAAACACATGGAAATTAAATAATATGCTCCTGAGTGACCAGTGAGTAAATGAAGAAATTAAGGAAATTGAAAAATTTCTTGAAACAAATGATAATGAAAACACAACATACCAAAACATATGGGATACGGCAAAAGCAGTACTAAGAGGGAAATTTAAAGTCGTAAGTGCCTATGTCATAACAGAAGAAAAATTTCAAATAGATAACCTAATGGTGTATCTAAAGGAACTAGTAAAGCAAGAGCAAACTAAAGCCAAAATTAGTAGAAAAAATAAATAAAGATCAGAACAGAAATAAATGAAATTGAAATGAGTAAAACAATACAAAAGATCAACACATCAAAAAGCTGGTTTTTTTAAAAGATAAACAAAATCAACAAACCTTTAGCCAGACTAAGAAAAAAGAGAAAAGACCCAAATAAATAAAATCAGAGACAAAAAATGAGACATTACAACTGATACCACAGCAAATCAAAGAATTATTAGAGGCTACTATGAGCAACTATATGCCAGTAAGTCAGAAAACCTAGAAGAAATGGATTTCTAGACACATACAACCTACTGAAACTGAACCATGAAAAAATCCAAAACCTGAACAGACCAGTAACGAGTAACAAGAGCAAAGCCATAATAAAAAGTCTCCCAGCAAAGGAAAGCTTGGAACCCTGTGCCTCCACTGATGGATTTTACCAAACATAAAAGAAGAACTAAGACCAATCCTACTCAAACCATTCCAAAAAGTAGAAAAGGAGGCAATACTGCCAAACTTATTCTACAGTGCCAGTATTACCCTGATACCAAAAACAGACAAAGACACAGCAACAAAGAGCTACTGGCCAATATCCCTGATGAATACTGATGCAAAAGTCCTCAACAAAATACAAGCAAATCTAATTCAACAACACACTAAAAAGATTATTCATCATAATCAAGTGGGATTTATCCCTGGGATGCAAGAATGGTTCAACATATGTAAATCAAACAAGGTGATATATTGTATCAACAGAATGAAGGACAAAAACTATATGATCATTTCAAATAATGCTGAAAAATCATTTGATAAAATTAAACATCCCTTCATGATTTAAAAAAAAACTCATAAAACTGGGTATAGAAGGAACATACCTCAACACAATAAAAGTCATATATGATACAGCTAGTATTATATTGAATGGGGAAAATCTTCCCAGATCTGGGACAAGACAAGGATGCCCACTTTCACCACTGTTACTAAACATAGTACTAGAAGTCCTAGCTAGAGTAATCAGAAAACAGAAAGAAAGGATATCCAAATTGGAAAGGAAAAAGTCAATTATCCTCGTTTACAGATGATACGATCTTATATTTGGAAAAACTTAAAAACTCCACAAGAAAACCATTAGAACTGAAAAAAAAATGCAGTAAAGTTGCAGGGTACAAAATCAACGTACTAAAGTCAGCAGCATTTCTATATTCCAGCAGTGAACAATCTGAAAAAAAAAAACCAAGAAATAGTTTCATTTACAATAGCTACAAGTAAAATAAAATACCTAGGAATTAACAAAAGAAGTAAAATATCTCTACATGAAAACTATAAAATATTGGTGAAAGAAATTAAAGAGGACACAATAAATGAAATGATAGTTCATGTTCACAGATTACAAGAATAAATATTATTAAAATGTCCATATTATCTAAAGCAGTCTACAGAGTCAATGCAATCCCTATCAAAATACCAATGACATTCTTCACAGAAATAGCGAAAACAATCCTAAAATTTATACAGAACAACAAAAGACCCAGAATAGACCAAGCTATCCTGAACAAAAATAACAAAACTGGAGGAATCGCATTATCCAACTTCAAATTATGCTACAGAACTGTAGTAGTCAAAACAGCATGGTGCTGGCATAAAATCAGACACATAGACCAATAGAACAGAATAGAGAATCCAGAAATAAATTCAAACATCTACAAGGAACTCATTTTCAACAAAGGTGCCAAAAGCATACATCAGAGAAAGGGCAGCCTCTTCAATAAATGGTACTGGGAAAACTGGATATTGATATGCTGAAGAATGAAACTAGACCTTTATCTCTCACCATATAAAAAAACAAATCAAAATGGATTAAAAACCTAACTCTAAGACCTAAAACTATAAAACTACTAAAAGAAAACACTAGAGAAACTTTCTAGGACATTGGACTGGGCAAAGACTTCTTTACAAGCACAGGCAACCAATGAAAAAATGGAAAAATGGGATTACGTTCAGCTAAAAACCTTCTGCACAGCAAAGAAAACAACACAGAGAAGAGACAACCCACAGAATGGGAGAAAAAAATTGCAAACTATCCATCAGACAGGGGATTAATAACCAGAATATTTTAAAAAGCACAAATAACTCTGCAGGAAAGTCTAATAATCCAATCTAAAAATGGGCAAAATATCCAAACAGACATTTCTCAAAAGAAGGCACACCAAAAGCAATTGCAACAAAAGTCAAAATTGATAAATGGGATCTAGGTAAACTAAAGAGCTTCTGCACAGCTAAAGAAACTATCATCAGAGTGAACAGGCAACCTAGAGAATGGGAAAAAATGTTGGCAAAATCCAGAAACTGCAAGGAACTTAAATAAATTTACAAGAAAAAACAACCCCATCAAAAAGTGGCCGAAAGGTATGAACAGACACTTCTCAAAAGAAGACATTTATGTGGCCAACAAATATATGAAAAAAATCTCATCATCACTGGTCATTAGAGAAATGCAAATCAAAACCACAATGAGATACCATCTCATGCCAATTAGAATGTCAATCATTATAAAGTCAGGAAACAACAGATGCTGGGGAAGATATGGAGAAATAGGAATGCTTTTACATTGTTAGTGGGAGTGTAAATTAGTTCAACCATTGTGAAAGGCAGTGTGGTGATTCCTCAAGTATCTAGAACCAGAAATACCATTTGACCCAGCAATCCCATTACTGTGTATATACCCAAAAGATTATAAATCATTCTACTATAAAGACACATGCACACATATGTTTATTTTAGCACTATTTATAATAGCAAAGACTTGGAACCAACCCAAATGTCCATCAATGATAGACTTGATAAAGAAAATGTGGCACATATACACCATGGAATACTATGCAGCCATAAAAATGAATGAGTTCATGCCCTTTGCAGGGACATGGATGAAGCTGGAAACCATCATTCTCAGCAAACTAACACAGTAACAGAAAACCAAACACCAAATGTTCTCACTCATAAGTGGGAGTTAACAATGAGAACACATGGACACAGAAAGGGGAACATCACACACTGGGGCCTGTCAGAGGGTAAGTGGGGGAAAGGGAGGGAGTGCATTAGGACAAATACCTAATGCATGCAGAGCTTAAAACCTAGATGACAGGTTGATAGGTGCAGCAAACCACTATGGCACATGTATACCTATGTAACAAACCAGCACATTCTGCACATGTATCCTAGAACTTGAAGTAAAATTTTTTTAAAAAAGACATATAAATGGCAAACAAGTGTATGAAAAGGTGTTCAACATCATTGATTATCAGAGAAATGCAAACCAAAACTACCAGACATCATCTCACCTCAGGTAAAATGTCTTTTATACAAAAGACACATAATAATAAATGCTAGTGAGGATGTGGAGGAAAGGGAACCATTGTACACTGTTGGTGGGAATATAAATTAGTACAACCACTGGGGAAAACATTTTGGAGATTTCTCAAAGAACTAAAAATAGAGCTACCATATGATTCGGCAATCTCACTGTTAGGAATATGCTCAAAAGAAAGGAAATCAGTATATCAAAGAGATATCTGAACTCTTGTGTTTATTGTAGCACTATTCACAATAGCCAAGATTTGGAAGCAACCTAAGCATCTTATCAACAAATAAATGGATAAACAAAGTGTGGTACTTATATGCAATGGAGCACAATTCAGCCATAAAAAAGAATAAGATCCTGTTATTTGCAACAACATGGACGGAACTAGAGGTCATTATGTTAAGTGAAATAAGCCAGGCACAGAAAGACAAACTTCACATGCGGAAGCTAAAAATTAAAACAATTGAACTCATGGAGATAGAGTAGAATAGTGGGAGGGGGGTGGGGGAAGAAGGAATGGTAAGGGTTACAAAAATATAGTTAGATAGAATAAATAAGATCTAGTATTTGATAGCACAACATGGAGAGTATAGTCAAAAATAACTGTACATTTTAAAATAACTTAAAGAGTATAACTGGATTGTTTGCAACACAAAGAAAGGATAGATGGATACCCCATTTACCCTGAGGTGATTATTACACATTGTATGCCTGTATCAAAATATCTCATACACCCCATTAATATATGTACCTGCTATATACCCACAAAATTTTAAAATAAGAAATTTTTTTAAATAAAATAATAAATTTATCTTGTAGTTAACCCAAACCTTGCAGGAACCATACCATGAAAATAATACTAAGGAACACAGTTCCAGTTTAGTTAAATTGTCAGGGAACAAATTACCACAGAAACAAACATTTTAGCCTCTGTTCTCCTCCTTACTCCTCACATTCTTTACTCTCTGCACATCCTGTACTATTTATGGGTCCCCACATTTGATCTATAAGCCTTCTTCCATCTCACCTCCAAACCACTGCACACACAGTTGACCCTTAAACACCCCTGAACCGTGAAGGTCCACTTATACATGGATTTTCTTCCACTTCTCCCTTCCCTTTGACAGCAAGCCCAAGCCCTCTTCTTCCTTCTCCTCCACCTACTCAATGCGAAGACAATATAAAGGTGAAGACCTTTGTGATAATCTACTTCCACTTAATGGAATAGTAAATATATTTTATTTTCCTTATGATTTTCCCTAATAACATTTCCTTTTCTGTACTTACTTTAAGAATATGGTATATAATATTTATAACATAGAAAATATATGTTGATCAACTGATTGTTATTGGTAAGGCTTCCTGACAACAGTAGGCTATTAGCAGTTAAGTATTTTAGAGTCAAAAGTTATACATGGATTTTCAGCTGCACAGGGGTGGACACATCTAACACCTCAGTTGTTGCAGGATCAGCTGTATTTTCGAATGCTCTTGAGGTGCCCGTGAAATATTTAGACAGGAATGTTTGACAGAGTTTGAAAGACCCAGCATGCTTTTTTTTTTTCATTCCCCAAAATGTTAGATCCAGGAGCCCCTGGCATAAACCTAAACTCAGAAATAAGAGGATATCACTCTTGGACCCAAATTTCTCTGAATGCAAGACCTGCAGGTAGGCCTGTCTAGAAAACCAACCAGAGAAAGACTGACAGAACCAATGAAGATTCTGGTAAAAAAGAAAAAAAAATCTAAGGTAAAACCTTAACAAATAACCAGCTGAGTTGGAATATAAGCTCTTAGAGTGCAAAGAACCTGATGTAAACCATATAATGAGTAGCACCTAAGCACTATGATGAATAAGAAAAAAGGACCCAGGTCATATAGAAAGTTCAAAGCATCTTTCAAGGTAATAGCTTGTTTATTCTTCCCAATACCATAATATCAATTACATGATATTATGATATAATAAGAAATATATATTTGGTTTCAGTCCTGGGTTCCTGGCACAAAGCTTTTCAAACCCCTGGAATTTTCTAAATAATAGGGGTGAGTCTAAGGTGACTCTTGGTGGGTCCCTAGAAAGCTCAGGATGGGGGCTGGTTGCCAAAGGAACCAATCATGTAATTAAAGAGTTGGAATTGGGTGCGGTGGCTCATGCCTATAATTTCAGTACTTTGGGAGGCTGAGGCAGGAGGATCACTTGAGTTCAGGAGTTCGAGACCAATCGGAGAAACATAGGGAGACTCCATCTCTATAAAACTACGTATTTTTTGCAGAAACAGGGTTTCGCCATATTGGCCAGGCTGGTCTCGAACTCCTGACCTCAAGTGATCTATGCACCTCGGCATCCTAAAGTGCTGAGATTATAGGTGTGAGCCACTGCACCCAGCCACTAACTGCAAATTCTTAAGAGAAGATTGAGCTCAGTGGCTCACACCTGTAATCCAAGCACTTTGGGAAGCCACAGTGGGCAGATCACTTGAGCCCAGGAGTTCAAGACCAGCCTGGGCAACATGGCAAAACCCTCTCTCTACAAAGAAAAAAAAAATTTAGCCAGGTATGGTGATGTGCACCTGTAGTCCCAGCTACTAGGGAGGCTGAGGTGGGAGGATCACGTGAGCCTGGGAGGTCAAGGCTGCAGTGAACCATGATCACACCACTGCTCTCCAGCCTGGGTGACAAAGTGAGATCCTGTCTCAAAAAAAGAAAAAACAATTCTTAAGAGAAAATCTGCCTGATTCAACTTCTCTTTGGAAATGAAGGTACAGGTCATACATTACTGGCTAGCCTGTGTAATGGCTGCCCTTTGGTGAGATCCCTACTGCTGAGGTTCACCTTAGGCCTGTGAAGCTGGTTTGAAAGCCAACAAAATGTAAAACGATCACATGGCTAAAAATTGGGCTTCACAGGAGACAAAGCCTCTAAGTCAGGCAGTTTTTCACAGAATGCAGTGTGAGTAGGCCAGGACTTAGAAGTTTAATCCATCTAGGAGTGTGATTAATGGCTTGCCAAAGAGAAATGTAAGTCATCTTACTGATGTATTTCTTACATTGAATTCTTACGATGTTAACCATATCAGATTAAATTCAGTAAAATATCAATGAGATCAAATTATCTATGAAAGTGTGTTGAAAAGTAATTACCATCATATAAATATGAGGGCTATTATCATCAGGAATTCAATGTTTTCATTTACTTATTTAATAGGTGGTACCTACTGTGTGCCCTGTACTACACTATTTACTGGAGAAAGCAGTCATCACTTTTCAAATTCCAGTTACACCAATGCTGTGAGTGTACACATATTTTAAAGCAATTAAATGATTTTATTTCTTTTCAGATGAAATCTGAATGGCTAATCACGGTTACTTTTCAGCTTCTAAAACCTAGACAGCAGACACGACCAGTCCTGAGTGAGACCTCTAAGAAATACACAGCATGCTACAGAAAGTACATCGCTAATTCAATGAAGTGGCATATATTGCTTTATGTCAGTGCTGAACAGATGCCCTAGTACAGCATCAGGAAACCCTGCTGCTGACAGTACTATATTTCAAAGGTATTTTAAAACTCACTTCACAGTCCCCTCCTGGCTCCCAGATACTCCGTGGCTCATATATTAAAGCAAGGGTAGGTAGATAATGAGCGAATCTTTTTGTATATATACACATTTCTGCTTTCCAGATTCTTCCCAGGGTATTAACATCAAGTTTAAACTTTTTTTTTCTTAATTTTTTTTCTTTATACCTCCTTTCCCCCAACCAAACACTGTAGCTTTGCTGGATAATACTGAACAGCTGCAACGTGCTACCCAGTGGGATTGCTGAAAATTTTGGCAATTGCTAAAATGACTCTGTGTAGACACATATTCACACATGTAGAGAGAGAAAAATTGTTTAAGAACCAGGGGACCCATCTGAATGAAAGATGCCGGCTAAGTGCTAAACATTATTATTTCATCTGAAAGAAGAATGAGGCAGAGAAAAATAATTTTTGGTAAGGCTAAAAATGCCTCAGAAGTATTATGTTAATTATTATCACAAAAGTTCATCAAGAGCCTCCAAAATCAGCAAACTGGACCAGAAATCTATTTCCCTTCTGACAATCTTTCAGCCTGAACAAGCATTCTTGCTTCTAATTACTTCAATTAAAAGTGCTTTATAATAAAATGTTGTCATTTCTCTCCCTCAGACCTTAGAACTAGGGAGATAATTGTCAAATTGTTCTTTCATAGTCCCAAATGGGATTTTGTTTCCAGTACAATGAGCTGTTTCATTCCACTTTCTACTTATAAAGAAAATAAGTAGCCTTTCTAAACTACTGAGGGAAGGTTTGCCTTTTTGTATGTTTGCTTGTTAAATAGTATGAGAAACTGAGTAGAAACAGTTAACACACAGATTCTCCTTTTGCTTACAGTCCTTTATCACCAGGGGCTGTCAAATACACACAAACTCATGTATCTAACATACATCATCAGGATAAGGAAATCAGATTATCAATAGAACCAGTGTTCCTGCTCTCTGAAATGGACTACTGCGTTGTTTCAATCACATCTGAAACATGAGTTAACGTTCAACAGCCAGAAAACATTTTTTCTCTTAAAGAGGGACTCCAGTAACTAAAGTGTGCCTCAGATTCCTCACAGGGGACATGGAATTATAGCTGGTAATGACAAGCACCGACTGGCGAAGTTGACTTGGTCAATTACCCTCTGCTGAACTAGAGTCTATACGACACATTTCACAAACATAGATTGCCTGAGAGTGACAGGAAAAGAGACATACTTGTACTTGCCAACTTAATAGGGCATGGTTCTCATTTGAGCACATCGGAATTGTACTCTATTTTTCATCATTTCCTCCCATTAAAACAATAACACAAATCTTTACTTGGCCATTTAGGCTCGTTTACAAAACAACAGTTTCTGCTAGAGTTATAGATCACTATTTCTTTCCTCTGTCTATATTGAAACAACTCTGCTCAATGTAAAATCTCCTACCCACAGTTCATATGGAATAAATCATTGTAGAACAGCAATCATGGCATCACCTAGAGTCAGAATATTAATTACCTAATATCTTATCAAAAGAACCTAGTGTTATTTAATCTAAGATATTCGATAAAGTTTAAAATTTTTTCCCCAATGTGTTTGTACTCTGGCTGGGATAGAGGTATGTTATGTAGAAATTAGCGTTGAATAACAAAGAAATTCACAACAGACAGAAAACTCTAATAAACCATATCCTCAGATTCAAATGACTTTCCTTCTATGCTGGTCTTTGAGAAGAAATGTGGGGCAATTAAAAAAAAAAGGTGAATTTTGACATCAGACCTGAGCAGGTTCAATCCACATGTTATTTAAACTCTCTGTACCTTGTCTTCCTCACTTGTAAAGGGAGGCCTTATCTCACCTGACTGTTGTAGGAATGAAATGCCCACAGGATAAAGCACTCTACAGATAAAAGGTGTCAATATACATGACCTCGCTTGGAGTAATCAAGTTTTACACAAAAGTTTAGTAAAATTATTATATAGGGAAAATGTGTCCTCAGCACTCCCAATCCCACATTTCTACATGGTTTTCCTATTTTGTTAACCTCATCTTAAACTTGCAGATTCCCAGTGATAGTGTCCCATTTTCTCTTATTAAAGTGTATCCAACAGACTGAGGCATTAGGAACGTGATGTGATGGCTTTCCCAGAAGCATTTGCATTTTAACAGAGAGATGTTTCAAAAATTATTTGACCCAAGAGGAAAAATTACACATGTATAATTCGAAGGAAAGTACCTACAGACTTTTCCATCATCTCTGACTGCACAGAGATGCCTGTGTAACCAAAGCCATTTCCCTCTTTTCCTGCTAAGTAAAGCCCAATTTTCATAGAAAGGGAATGTGCTCAGCCACAGGCAATGAGTAACAATTTATCTAAACCAGTCATGCCAATCCCATTCCAGTTCACCAATTAAAGTTCTAAGAGTAGACATATAACGCAGTTTCCACAAATATAAGGAGAAGTCTCCTAGTGATTTTGGGGGAAAATATCTCCCCTAGAAATGAGGGGGAAGGTATTTTTTCCTTTCACCTTTTGTTTTGTTTTGTTTAAAACATTGTTGTGTAAAGACATTAACTTAAAGCTTTGACAGCCATTTTGTCACCACTAGAGAAAGTGCCACCATAGAGAAAATAGCAGTCGGAAACAGTAGGAGCCTAGTTGTTAGTGATACCATTGACCTGCTATACTAACTCTAGAATTTCTTACTTATTATGTGATATTAGTTAAGTCGCATATATATTTTTAGTCAGGTATTCTGTTATATGCAGCCAAGCATATACTAATTTATAGACACTCTTTTCTTTGACTATCCTTAGAAACCTCAGGAGAAATCACAAAGACAAAAAGAAAGCTTAAGAGATTAAGAGCAAAAATAGCATCTTTTATAGTATGAGAGAGGCTAAGAGTATAAGCTTTAGACGTAACAGGATATATTCCTATCTTTAAGGTGGGCCAAATTGATGTCAATTCTTACTCTACTCTACTGCAGCATCTCTGTGAGGGCAGGAACCCAGTCTTCATCACACCACTAGCACCTGACAAATTGCCTAGCACATAGTAGGCAATCAACAAACATTTGTTGAATGACTACATGATAATTGTGGAGTGATTCATCTAATTTTGTTGTAGCTTTCTAATGCTTTGTGTTGTGGGGACCTATGGACCTCTCTGCAACAATTGATTTGGAAATGAAGCCAGAAAACAAGAATGGCTTTCTTTGCTTCATCTTTCTGTTGCAAATGGCTCTATATTGCAGACCTATAACACAAATGCTTCCCTCCCCAGTGGCCTACACAAAGCTGTGATTTTCTTCTGATTCTCTATTTTTAAAAAGTCTAAGACCATTCGTGTGTTTGTGTTTCTTTGTGTTGACTGTAGGTTTTGATATTGTTGCCAGTTCCCTTCTCATACTGTCAAATTTTGTTTTATGTTCCCGTATTCTTTCAACCATTTCAGGGGCGAAAATGCTAATTACCATGGGTTTAATAGCAGTTCTGAACTGCACCAGAACACCAGGTTCTCGCAAATACCTGTCACTGCAGAAGTTTTCAATTACCATAATTCCATTTCTAATTCAAATTACCATAATTGCCCTCCATTAATGCAACTTTCTTAAAGCTGAAACATCGAAGAAGAAGCTGGCACTCACATTAGCTTAGTTGACTACTTGCAAAAATAAACAGCATCTGTCCATTTTGCAAACAGGATGATGTTAGCCTGAAAAAATATATGTATCAGTGTTCTGAGTTTGTAATATCTATCATATTATATTATAACTATTCTGTCAACATATGTAAAAACTGAAAATCATTCATATATCTTCCTATTTCTTCTATTCTGGATGAGGGGTAAGAACTGTTCTTCTGATAGTTTCAGTATTCACCACAACAACAAAATTCAGCCTATCTACTCCTTAACTAACCTAGTTCTTACAAATCCATCTATTTGCATAAAAAGCAGTTTTGCTGCCCTACAATCAACAATATCACTTTTAATGATTCTTGTTTTTCTGAGCAAGTCATGCTTGCTTTTCTCACTTATTGGTGTGAAACAAGACCACTTCCCAGAATTGGCTGGTTTGGATTTTAGTGCTATGCCTTCTCCTGGCTGTCCCTAGCATTTTATTAGGAAGCCATAATTTTTATATTTGAAATACAGGCAATATTTGTACTTGAACTGTGAAAAAACACCCGAGGAAAGCAGGCAAAACAAAAGGTCACATCATTAGTTGGGTGATTAGAATACACGGTTCCAGGGAAGCAAGTATACAGTCCTTTAAACCAACATGTGAAACAGTGAAGTATTCTTCAATAAATCAATTCATTAAATTTCAAAAAATGTCTAAATTAGATTTCAAAAAATGTCTAAACAGGCCCTGTAATAAGTTCATTTTAAATTCTCAGCAAATGATCAAAGCCATTGATAATTTTCAGTCCTGCAGAGTCTCTGTGGTATCCAGCAGTTTAAGTCAGCCATTTAAGAGCCACAGTAGCTTTGAAGGCTGAAAATTCTGTGTCTGCAAATGCCATGGGCACCTTTAGGATTTAGCTCCAGGCTGTAGCAATGTAGAACTCTTTGTGGAAGATAGAAAACAGAGAACAGTCCAATCTGTTGGAAGATTCTAAAGAGTTCAGAAAGAGAGTTCACCTAATTACCTACATCCAATCAACAGAGAGATCCAGCAGATGAAGTCACAGGTTACGGCTAAACCCCAGAGGCATCTCTCACTTTGTGTGCTCCTAAATATTTTAGCATATATTTAGGTGATTATTGCATTTTGCTCCTCAACGTTGGGTAGAAAATAAACCCCATTGGTACCAAAGACTTTATGATACCAGATTTCTATCAGTGAGAAGCAGTCTGAGGATAATTGGAAATGAACTTCCGACAAGTAAAAAACAAAGCTGCCAATGAATTTGTGGGATAGCACATTATTAGACCTTCATATTTTTGAGGGACTACACCAAAATTAACTGTTACTCCTGGCCTAATTTTTATAATTTTCTTCTGGCTAAAAAGCAACAAAGTGTATGGATACATTAAGGTAGGAACAGAATTAATTAAAATAGACATGTCATTACTATTCATTTAGATAAAACTTAGAATATGAGTAGGGAATATGCAAATAGAAGACCAATTCCAGCACTTGGCTTGAGTCTACACAGTCTTGGAGTGATATTTCTCTGATCAGATGTTGAGAAGTTCAAGTTGCAACCTGTAGGCCTAAATCTCAGATTCATCATCTGTTATTTGAAGATGGTACCCTATGGGTTGCTGATGAGATCACAGATCAGAAAGTATTTTGGATATGGTTGCACACCTGAAGTTTTCTCTCTACCACACAGAGTATTGTTTAAAAACCAGGACCACCTAGAATAGTATATGGCAAATGGGAGATATTCAATGAATATCTGTTGAATGAATGAATGAATGAGTGAATGAAAATAGAGGCAATAAGTAAATTATCAATGCTTTTACAATGTGGCAATATCCACTATATCGGATTCTTTGGCCTATCACAGTAAGAGTAGAATTTATAAATAGTCAAGGTTTCAAACAGGTAAAAGATCTCTGAGGGATCAATATTACAAAAGTTATTCACTTTCAACTTTGCAAGCTAAAATACATCTAAGAATGTATTGAGCTTCTTTAACTACATTTACACATATAAAATGTGCCAGTCTGTGCTAGTTTCTTATACATATATAATCTCATTCGTTGTCTTTCTCTCTCATATCTGTTATTCTCAGTATATATTTCCTTTTAACTCACCCCTTTTCCTTCACTTTTGTTTATTTACCTTTTTCTTTAACTAAAATCAATTAACAATAATTTTTTAGTATTTTTCACATTTATTGAATAAAATCTTAGATTTACAACGTTTAAACTTTTAAAGTAGACAATTTCAATATTTTAAGTGATTTTTTCCTCAGGAAAAATCTGAATATGGTTAGTTTCACTTTTTCAGGAAATCAGAGACATTGAATTTAATTTTAAAAATTGAAAAATGTCCTCCTGACTTGGAAGGTAAACAGTGCTACTGTAGCTCAGACTCTCACAACCCTCTGATGTTGCAGGCAGCCTCCTGATCATCTGTTCCCCATTGGTTACTCCCCAGGCCACATTCTGATATCATCCACCAGCAATACATTAATGTTCAGGCAGCAAGGCAAAAACACTAACATGACTCAAGAGCTCTTAACTCTAGTCTGATCTCAACCACTTTCCAGCCATATGAATGTAGGAAAATTGCCTAGGAAGAGAGAGGTATATTTGAATGGTTTCAAAAATAAAATAAAGATAGAAATAAATAACTGCTCTACTAAATTCAGGGGATTGTTACAAAGCTCAAATGAAATAAAGTATTTTGTTGTGTGTAAAACATTATACACATATCAGGTGTTATTAAACTTTAAGATGTATTACCTTTAGTGGCATAGCACAGCAGTGAAAAGCACAGACTTGGAGTCAGACTGCCACCTATTAGCTGTATGATCTTGACCACATAACACTTGTGCCTCAGTTTCTCTTCTGTAAGATAATAATAATTGTAATTATGGACTTATTGTAAGGACTAAATGAGATAATATTATATAAAGCACTTCAAATAATTCCTGACCCGGAGTGTTGTATTTTTTATTATTACCATTATTATATTATTCTCTGGCTGAAAATTCTATTGTGATTTCCATGCTTGGCATTCACAGCTGTCCATAATCTTACTTTTCCTCCACTTTCTTTCTACTCCCAAACACAGACCAGCTCTGCTCTGGCTAGACCACTCTTCCCATTGCCCTGCATTTAATCCTGAATCCATGCCTTATTCACTTAGCATCACTTATCTGAAATGCTCTTTTCTCTGTGATCTCTCCGTTAATCAAATTCCTGTTCCAGTCCCACCTCCCCAACCACTTGAGCCATGCCCCACACCTTCTCTGAGTTACAATGGCAGCTTTAATGCAGACTGTTCACCCAGAATTTTAACCATGTACTTCCTTGTACTGCTGCTGATACTGTTTGACAGCATCTTCCCCTTCTGCAAAATGTTCCCTCAAACATGGTAGCTCTAAAGTCTGAGGCCCACTTCCTTGGCTATCTGACTCTCACAGCTGGTTAGTCCCTCCTTGAAGTACTTCACACTTGATGGAGAAGAAAAGCCCTCTCCTCTCTGTCATTGAGCTGCATTAGTGTGAGCGTGGAGCTGCTAACAGCCATGGTCCCAACTCTATGGAAAAGCTAGCATGAGAAAATAAAGGGAGCACAGAGAGAGGCAAAGATGAGAGATGTGAAGTGGAAATATGGATGCTCTACTTCTTGGTTCAAAATGTCCCTGAAGCTAGTTCTACCCACTGTTCCAAGTCCTTGGCTATTGAGTTACATATGTCAATAAAGTCCCCTCTTGTGTTTTTCACTTGTTTAACTGTTAATAGTGTGGCATGGATACTGGAAAATATATCTTTTTCTTATTAACAGGCCTCTGTCCCACAGCCAGGCTATTTTCAGCTTTAATTATGTGACTTGTCCTTGTTCATTATCCATATACCAATGAAGAGCAACAAAAGTAAGTGACTCGTTGCTGACACATGGCATTTCTTGAGCAGCCATTAATTAGCAAAATAGCACTTGAACATAAATTGTTAAGGAGTGTCAGCAAATAAAACTGTAATCAGAATTTTTTTTCTCCCTTCTTGTGTACGCACCTTTGTGAATTGCACTAGGCAATTTCTAACTTTAATTTAGAGCTTATCAAGGAAACCAAGTATTACATTAATCTTTAAGAACTGAGTCTAAGTGTGCTTTACCCTCTCTATTCTCTCTTTCAGAAGCAAGAGATGACCCAAGCCACACACATGCATCTTCTCTCCTCTGCTGAGAGTCTCGGACCCTCACATGGAAGGACCACATAGTTGAGCTTGGTCTCATTTTTAAGGCGTTTAATAAATAGCGACTGAGCAAATGCTATGGACCAGGCCCAGTGCAGGTAAAGGGAAATATAAGAGTAAATAATAAAATTTATGCTTGAACACCCATTGTAAGCTTATCTCCCCACACCCATATATTTCAGACTTCACCGATTTGGTGTGTGTCAACTTCCATCTGCTAGTATCTGCATCTCTGAGCTTGAATAATTCTTCCAGAAAACCACTCCTCCAGACAATGGAGGTCAGAAGTCACAGAGAATTACCACCTCCCTATGCCTCTTCAGCCTCCTATACCTTGCCTTCTACAGCTCTCAAGCAATGATTAATTGGAGTGGGTATGGAAACACTCTAATTTCTTTGACACTGGAGAGGCAGAATGCTGAGACACAGGAGCGGCTCAGTATTACCATCTTAATAATGGACAATTTATTGGCCTCCTCTCCCTTGCACTATTATTTTCTACATCCCTGTCAGTATTTTCTGTATTTCTCCCCTTGAAAAAGGAAAAGAAATTACTTGCATTCCAATTTTTGTTTCACTGTCTGCTTTCACGGCAACCCAAACTAAGACCATTTGCCCTTAAAGAACTTATACTGTAATGGGGAAGGCCAGCTTGCAAATAATATTCCTTTAATAAAGGAATGAGGACTGTGGAAACACAGAAAAATAGATGCCTCTATTCCTCATGACTCTAAGAGCAACCACAGAGAATCCTACCACAGGATTCACAGTAAATGAAAATTGTATAACAGGGTCTTCAGCAAGGGATGCTGTAAGTCGTATCTTTTATGACTACTGCTATTGATACCTAGCTCCCTTATGCCATACTGGTCTCCTTTCCCTGTGACCTGGTTAGGGCCTTATTAACTCTGTCTCCTAATAGTCTTTTAAGTGGCAGACTTTCCAATGAATTCATTGAAATAATAATTATTTAGTGATATTTTAATATGATACTTCCTTAGGATACAATGTCCTAAATATCGGATCTAACATAGCTAGCTTGGCAAAGGATTTTAAGGATTTTAATCTCCTTCTTTACTTTTCAAACCAAGACACTTTTATCCTAACTCACTAAATTTTAGCTGCATTTCCAAATGAGACCTAATTGTTCAAATTGTGTCTCAGACTGGGCTCTCTGGGACGCTGACTCTGAGATGGAATTTCATGCACAGGGTGTGCTTTTGGGAAGAAGGAAGTAGGATTGAGTAGAAAAAGAAGTCACACTGCAAAGCAAGTCAATGTCAGAGGAAGATGTGAAGCAAGCAAGGATTGTTAGTTGTCCTGTGTTTGGCCAAAATGGCCAAGCCTAGTTAAGCCATTGGATACGGGCTGCCCAAGAATATGGCCTTCGGTGAGCAGGTGGTTCTCTGCTGCTGTGACAATGCCTCCAAGGTGTCTTCTGAGAGCACTCCCACCAACTGGGGCAACAAGCCCTTCCTTGAAAGGTAATCTAGATGGTGCATCCACGACTATTCATGATACACTGGGATCTGCCTAATTTCTCAGCCTCATGTTCATCTTCACAGGGGCATATTTTAACAGTTATAGGTTAGAAAGTTGTATATTGTCAGTGATTCCCCAGAGTTGCTCCCCTTCTCCTCCCCTTAAACTCCCAAAGCTTTTGCCAAGATGTCCTAGCTCCATATATATTTTTTGGTAACCCATAAGCTGGCTATTATCAGCTGAACTAGTTAAAGTATAAGATTGGAACTTAATGCCATAAATAACCAAATTTAGGGTTAAGGTTAGCGTCAAGCTGGGATATGGAATCAGGTGGCCCAGCAGACTCAGGCCTATGGGTTTAGGTCATCTAAGACAATCAAGTTATTTGAGTATTCAATGAACCTATCGAATTCCTGGCATTTCTCTGTGTCCTGGAGCCAAATCCCTCTGCCACGTGTGGAGAGTCTTTGTATGACTGAACCAGTCTGGCTTGAAAGAAAGCTCCTCTGAGGTGACTATAGGTTTAAGCATGTCCCTCTGTCACCCTCCTAATGCCCTACTCTAAGCCCTGCTATTATCTGAAGGGCAGCAGAGTAGGAGGGCACCCACACACTGTGTAGCACTGGGATGTGAATTTAGCTTGTCCAGATACCTAAATATATCTGAGGGCTATGAAAAGCATAATTTGCACCAAGTCTCTACACTCCCAATTGTGTTCATTTTGCTTAATTACTGCTTTCTAAAGATTCCCTGTGTTCCATCGAGAGGCCCTTGCTTTAAGCAAAGATTCAGACAGGAAGAGGCAAAAAGAAAGAATCTATGTATTTAACAACACACTTTGAAATTTTAAATGATCTAAACAAAATAGGCTACCTTTATAATTAATTATGTTTTGGATTTAGAAAGGAACTTTGCCTCTAATTCAAAGTGAAAAATTATACATGCATTTACTATTTTCCAGGGTACCCACGCTGTACCATTTCAAATTCATGTTTTTCTCAGCCTGTTCTGTCTTTACCAAAACAGTCAAACAAAATAAACATAAAGATAATAGCACAATAACAAAGGGACATGAATAATTGGAATGTCTCTTCAGTCAGAAGCATTTTTGCTTCTACTAAAGGATTACACTATGATAAATATTATTACCTTCAAGATCAATGGAATGAAGGATCTGCCAAATCGAATGCAATGCCAGGAAAATCTATATTGTATTTACAGATTTCAGATGGAAAGATACAGCATTCATAGCACAAAGCATTTGTGTTCTCTTTTCTCCACTCACCCCTCAATTTCCTTCCAGAACCAAAACTATTTGCGTGACTTATTGGCAGAAAGCTTCTTGTTCTTAGAGTTGATACTGTAATCACCAAACAGAAAACTTTGAAAGGATTGTACATCAGCCATCCTTGAAACCAAGACTCAAAGCAGCCACTCACTCTGTGTCTACTGCTTCATTCCTTTCATGCTGTTCTCCTTAGAAGAACTAAGTTATTATTGAAATATAATCACCCCACCTATATTTCGAGCAGACGACCTGAGTAGATCAAATGGATTTGTAAACATTTATTGGCTGTTTTGGTAAAGTGGTATAATGTAATCATGCACTTCGAACTTCATTAGCCATGCAAAATTCCCCAGGTCAGTATTTACATTTCAGCAGCTAATTTATTAGGCTTCTAGATGCTGTGATTCAATCAGCTTCACAGAATCCACTTTGGTAAGGCTATGCTGACACAGAAATGATGGAGGGCAAATAGATTCAAATTAGTCAGACTGCAGTCACACTAGCACATCACTTTACCCTTCATTTACTTCTGAATTTGGGTACATCGCATGCAGCTTTATTTGCATCCAGAAGACCCAGAATATGCCTTCTAATGAATTTAGCAGCCAAAATGAATCACAGCTATTCAGAGGAAAGTATGAGGGATCTTGTTAAGGACTTAGCTTTCATCAATTTTCAGATTGACATAACCCTGTCATATATGTGAGGGGGTCAATGACCCAGCTAATGATTTAATAAATGGAAACAAGCCTTTCACTTTGGTAGAATGACTGGGTCCTGATCACAAATATGTCTTGGAGAGGTAAGTACAGCCAGGAGAAAGAGAGGTCATTTTCATTTCAAGGGTCCTATTCTTCACCTGATCCCAAAGGGACTAGCAAGCAGCAATTTTCAGAAATCTTTATTTCTCTATCTTCTCCCTCAGAGGAAGTAGAAGGGATGTCCACAGAAGATAAATAACTATGACAACAGCAAACACACCACAGTGATTGGGTTGGACCCAGTGGGAGCTTCTCTCATGCTACACTTTGCTGACCTTCTAGTAAACATTTATTAATGGTAACAAAAGCTTAAACTAGACAAGTTGTTGGCTTTTCGTTAAGTGTTCGGAGTACTAAAGTTATAACAAGAAGCTAGGAATAAGACAGTTCATATTAGTGGCCAAAACAGGAATATAAAGTGCAATAATAGCTGCAATCTGAGAAGTAACGAGGGGGCATAGCATTAAGTAACATTTGAATAATTATTATGTGGTATAAATTGTACATTTTCTCATTTAATCCTCATAAAAAGCCTTACACAGTATTATTTTTGCCCCTATTTTATAAATGTAGGGACTAAGGCACAAGGAGATTCAGCAGTCTGCCAAGGGTCCTACAGTCTAAATAATATAATTAGATTTTTACCCTGAGAATCTAACTTTAAAGATAGATTTCCTAACCATTATTTAAAGTAAGATCTACCCATTGGTATTTTTGATGAATCTTTAATATCTCTGAGAAAAAAAACATTGTAAAGGGTCAGTAAATATAAGCTCATTCATATCTTTACTACCTACAGAAATCTCTGCACGTCCAGATATTTTCCTGGGATTTCTGAAACATTGTACCCTTTCAGAACATATCTTGTTAAAGACTTACCATTGGTGTTAATATTAGAATCAACATAAAAATCAAAATGATAGCTACTGAATGGTTTTCAGAAAATGTAAAGAGTCTTTGAATTGCCATCTTGAGCCTGAACTCTAGATTTCCATTCTTATCTTAAAATATGATAATGTGGATTTTTCCACTGAAACATTTGTTTCACTAGATTTAAGTCTACATAAATATTAACCTAAAAAACAGAGTCTGAGTCTGTATCTACATGAAACCATTATATTTCTTTGCCAATTATCACTAAAAATTCCACATGCTAATAAGAGAGATATGAAGGCTGGCATTCATCGGATTTTCTTGATATATAGCTGAGTCGAAGCATAATAAGATGAAATCAACTGACAGGTTATGTATTTAAGGGAAAAAAAATTCAAACTATACATAGTCAATCCTTACCTGCTCGTCACCATATCAAAATCCAAGAACAAAACCTGAGTCTTTATACCTAAAGATTCTCAGTGTGAGACACTGCTGTCACAGTTACCCTCTGCAATATAACAAGTATTCTAAAAATTAATGGTAAGGCTATGCTGACATAGAAATGATGGAGGGCTAATAGATTCAAATTAGTTAGACTGCAGTCACAGTAGCACACCACTTTACCCTCTGTTTGCTTCTGAATTTGGATATATACAAATGGAATTTTTAGTGGTGATTGGCAAAAAAATTTAATGGTTTAAAGCAACAATGTCTTTTTTTTTTTCTTGACAGAGTCTCACTCTGTTGCCCAGGCTGGAGTGCAGTGGCGTGATCTGGCTCACTGCAACCTCCACCTCCCGGGTTCAAGCGATTCTCCTGCCTCAGCCTCCCGAGCAGCTGGGATTACAGGGGCCCACCACCATGCCCGGCAAATTTTTGTAGTTTTAATAGAGACAGAGTTTCACCATGTTGGCCAGGTTGGTCTCGAACTCCTGGCCTCAGGTGATCCAAAGTGCCAGCCTCCCAAAGTGCTAGAATTACAGACGTGAGCCACGAAGCCCAGACAGTGATTTATTCTTTCTTACAATTCTGTGGGTTTTGACTCAGCAGTTCCTCTGCTAGTTTTGCCTGGGCTTATTCATGCATCAGCAAGGCAGTCAGCTGGCTGGGAGGTGCAAGATGGCCTCACTCACATGTCTGGCAGTTGGTTCTAGCTGTTGGCTGGGTTCTCCACATGGTCTCTCATCTTCCAGTGACTAGACAGTCTTCCGTACAAGAGGATCTCAGGAAAACATACCAAGGGAGGAGGTAAAATGTATCTGGCCTTTTGAAGCCTAGACTATGGGACACAACATAACTTTTACCAAATTCTACTGGTCAAAGCAAAACAAATCTGGCCCAAATTTAAAGAAATAAAACAAAAGATTCCGCCTCTAAATTACAGAAACAGCAAAGTTACATTGCCAAAGAGCATGCACTTTGGATAGAAGAAATTGTGGCCATAAACGATTACCACAACCACAAAAAAAAAATGTTTAAAAAGTCATCCAGATTGACTGCATCAATGTCAGCATTTCAAGGTCCTAGTTGTGATATTATACTAGAGTTTTGCAAGATTTGACCACTGGGGGAAACAGGGTAAAAACTACACGAGCTCTCTCTGTATTATTCCTTATAACTTCATGTAAGTCTGCAACTATTTCAAAATTAAAAGTTTAATTTTTAAACAGTCAACCATAAAGAATCTCATCATAAAAAGTAATGTAGGCTGAGCACAGTGGCTCACGTCTATAATTCTAGCACTTTGGAAGGCTGAGGCAGGAGGATAGCTTGAGCTCAGGAGTTTGAGACAAGCCCGGGCGACATAGTGAGACTTCATCTCTATAAAAATAAAAAATAAAATAAAATAAAATATAAAGTATTGTGAATAAAAAAGAATTCATTATCATGACATTTTATCAATTCATGCTGAGGCCATATGTAAAATAACATATGCAGTGCATCCCAACCATTTATTCCATGAGTATTTTTTGACTGTCTACAAACAGCCCAATACTCTTTTAAGCATTTGGTAACAGGCCTAAAACCCCTTTCATCATGGAGCATTACCTTCTAGTATTTAACTCTGAAATCTGTGACAAACCACAAAAAGGAATGAAAGTGAAGGTCCTGGAGCTGACAATAAAATAGTCAATGAAGATTAGGTGCAGTGGCTCACGCCTCTAATCCCAGCACTTTGGGAGGCTGCAGCAGGAGGATTGCTTGAGGCCAAGAGTTCAAGACCACCCTGGGCAACATATCAAGACCTTGTCTCTACAAAAAAATCAAAACATTAGCCAGGCATGGTGATACACACCTGTAGTCCCAGCTACTCAGGAGACTGAGGTGGGAGAATCTCTTGATCCCAGGAGGTCGAGGCTGCAGTGAGCCAAGCTCAAAGCACAGAACTCCAAGCCTGGAAAACAGAGCAAAACTCTGTCTAAAAAAAAAAAAAAAAAAAAAAAAAAATTCAGTGAGAAAATGCTACTGCAAGGTAAGGAGGGACTAAACATATCTATAACCTCCATTCTAGAACTTTAAAGCCTTCCAGGAAACATCATCTGTTTCTAAAATTATGAGGTGACCCTCTAGACCAGTGCTCTTTCTCTATCTCCTGACTCCTATTATCAGAAGCATAGGTGGAACTGTTGAAGACTGAGCTTCTTAGTTTTCCTTTCCACTGCCTCTTACCCACCTGCCAGACACAATTTGTTCAAATTGGACAAGGATGATGTAGTATACACTATTAATTGTATTTACCTGGCATCCATTTATCTTTTCTTTTGAGAAAACCACCTCTTCCTTACTCTTTGTACATGTGGGTTGATAGAGAACAATCCAAACTCAGGTATGAAGGTGGGCATATGATCCAGTAGTAAGCTAATCAGTATATTTGGTAATAGACAGACAGATAATCGAATTGGCCAATAAGGGTTAGGCCCAGGAGTTTTGTTAGCACTCTTTTCTGCCATGCTCTTAAGTGGAGAAGATGTGAGCTAGAAGTTATTGACTGTATTTTGCCAATGCTAATGGCAACCTAGCCTGAAAGCAACAAAGGAAAATCAAGCAGGGAGGTGAGGAAGACTAGGTCTTTGTGACAATGCTTGAGATTCTGTAGTCGCCTATATCCCAGATCTTTCCTCAGGCTTTTTTGTTACATAAGCAAATAAAATGCTATTTTGGCTTAAGCTAGGTTGAGCTGGGCTATTCTTTATTCATGAGTGAAAGTGCTCTAACTAGTACAAAAAAGGAGGATGCAAAGGACCTGGGAGTACCTTGGGGAAGCAAGATGGAGGACTGGACAGAACAAAAACAACCAATTTTTTAGAAAAGGAATGAAAACTGAGTTGTTGTTTGCTTACTTTTTTGCCATCTTTGGCATCTGAGCTAAAAAGTGATCTTAGCCTTCAATAGGTAGAGGCAGTAGCACTGGTCTCAGAATTTGATAAAGATACTCAGGATTCTATTATGAAATAATCTCCATAACTGAGGAAGAAACAATCTAATTGCCCAAACTTGACATAATTGTTAAAGATTTTCTTTTATTAATACCAAAATAAAAGAGAAGCCTCTTTGTGTTTGCAGCGGACAAAGGAAATAAATAATAGCACATGATTACCCAAAATATCAGACAAGATGTTCTGGGCACAAATATTTAAGGTCCAAATGCTGGATTAGAGAAACAAATATTCCACTAAGTATATTAGTCAGAGTGCTCCAGAGAAATACAACCAATAGGATATGTGTGTGTGTGTGTGTGTGTGTGTGTGTGTGTATACACATAAGAAAAGATTTATCTTAAGGAATCAGCTCACATGATTATGGAGGCTGACAAGTCCAAAATCTGCAGTGTGAGCCATCACACTGGAGACTCAGTGAGATGCCAAAGCAGCAGTTCAAGTCCAAAAGCCATCTGCTGGCAGAATGCCTTCTTGCTCAGGGGAAGTCAATCTTTTGTTCTATTCAGCCCTTCAACTGATTGGAGGAGGCCCAACCACATTATAGAGGGCAATCTGCTTTACTCAAATTCCACTGATTTAAATGTTAATCTCATACAAAAACACCCTCACAGAAACATCCAGAATAATGTTTGACCACATATCTCGGACCTGCAGTCCAGCCAAGTTGACATATAAAATTAACCATCACACTGAGTATAGGAACAACAAGTCTTAGCAAATTTCTTCATGTCAGCAACTGAATTTTTTCTGTCTTACAAAATCCAGATCTACAGGAAAATATCCTACCAGCGTGCTATCACTGACTTCCAAGTCTGAAAGAAACAGAAAGCAGAGTTGAATATAATAGAAATAGCATTGTCCCAAAAGTGAGGGGACCTGAGTTCTAGTTGCAGATTTGGTGCTAACTTAACCAAGTCATGTCATCAAGCTGGATTTCAGCTTCCTCATCTCTAAGGTGAGGAGGGGGAGGGTAGCACTAGTGACCTCTATGGTACCTTCTAACTCAAACACTCAATTATGAGGTGGTTTTTAATCTCCTTTCTCATCTAGGACCACCAAACCTCACTCCTTCCTAGGATCTCTACAGTCTATATTTATAACACTTGCTTCAAATGCCAAATTGGATATTGTTCTCTTTTCCAGCTCCAACCTTTATGCTATTTAAATAAAAGTAGGACATGTGCTGCTGAGAATGGCAATAACAGGGGTCCGTGGGTGTTGGCAGCAGCCTAGCCAAGGTGACACTGCACTGCTAGAGACAGCCCACACTAAAGGATTTTCTCAGCTATAGCAGGTGAACATTTTGCTTTTCCAATGGAAAATAATTTATATCTAAAAGACAGAACTGGTGACAAAAACATCTCCTAGTCTGTCCTTCAGAGCTGGTATGTTCTTGAGAAATTTCTGCTGAGAAAAGATATTTAAAGATAATCAAGAAAGAATTTAGAGCAATAATGTCAACAAGATGGTGGAATAGGAGGTATCCCCCTTTATTCCCCCACAGCAATAACAGTTTCACAGCCATCCATGAACAAAAGTACCTTCGTGTTGGGATTCATGTAGGAAGTTGTGAAAGTCTGGCGGAACCTATGACTGAGGAGGACCACTTTGAAAGGGCAGACCCATGCCCAGGTGGCAGACTCACCAACTGTGTGAGTTCCTGGCTCCAGACCTAGAAAAAGCCTCATTCTCTTGTGTACTCAGCTGCAACCTTATTTGGCCTTGATCTGGCCACCAGAACCATCTGCCAGGAACCCAGATGCAGTCATGCCTACTAATGTTTTGCATGACAGACCTGCCGACCTCAGTCCCAGCTAGGACCCTGAAGTGGTCCTGTCCTTAAGCTCCAGCCCCTCTCAGCTACAGTCTGAGACCAATCCTGCCTATACAGGGACTGGAAGAGATATGCACCCATCTGTGTCCCTGCAGGCAGGCCTGCTGACTGCAGTCCCATAGCAGATCCAAAAGAGCCTGTAATTCAGCTTAAGCCCTCTCAGCTACCATTTGGGAGTAGTCCTGCCCACCTAGGGAACCACCAATAGATATGCTCATCAGTAACCCCAGAGGCAGGCCTGCAGACCCCAGCCTTGGCTATGGCCCCTTACTCAGCCCTGTAACTCAGTCCCCAGCCCCTCTCAGCCATAGTCCAGGGCCAGTCCTGCTTGGCCAGGGACTCACCTAGTGACCCAGTGACACCCCTTGCAGGAACCAAGAAAGCTACATTGTCAGTGCACCTGGTGTCATCTGTGGACTTTCATTCTAGCACCAGTCCTACTGGCCAAGGCCCCAGAGGCAGTCTGGTTCACCCAAGGACCAGACAGGAATTATGCCAAATTCAGTCCTGATAAGAGGCTCACCAACCACAGACTCCACTGCAAACCCAACAGCGGCCACATGACCCAGCTCCAATCCGATTCAACCACAATCCCAGAGGCAATCTCATCATCCCAGGGACCTGACAGAAGGTCTTTACCTGCCAAAACAGTCTGTAAAACTGGAAAAGACATTTGCTCCTTCAAATACAGATACCAATGCAAGGCCATACAGATCATAAAGAACCAGTCAAACATGACACCACAAAAGGAAACTAATAAAGCTTTAGTAACTGACCCCAAAGAAAAGGAGATCTACAAATGAGCTGAAAAATAATTTAAATAAGCATCTTAAAGAAGCTCAACAAGACGCAAGAGAAGACAGATAGACAACTAAACAAAATTAGGCAAACAATGAATGAACAAAATGAAAAGTTTAACAAAGAACTAGAAACCATAAAAACAAACCAAACAGAAATTCTAGAGCTGAAGAACACAACGACAGAAGTGAAAAATTTAATAAAGAGCTTGAATAGCAGAATTGATCTGAAGAAGAAAGAATTAAGAACTCAAAAACAGGTAATTTGGAATTAGCCAATTAGAGGAACAAAAAGAAAAAAGAATGAAAAGGAGTAAAAAAGTTTAGGGACCTATGGAACATCATCAAGCATACAAATATATGAATTTTGGGAGTTCCAGCAGGAAAAGGAAGAAAAACACAGAAAGCTTATTTAAATAAATAATGACTGAAAACTTCACAACTCTTGGGAGGAATCTAAACATCCAGATTTTGTGACACTCAAAGGACTCAAAGCAGTATTAATGCAAAGAAGAACACTGCAAGACAAATTACAGTCAAATTGTCAGAAGTCAAGGACAAAAAGGAAATTTTGAATGCAGCAAGAAGAAAGAGATTCATCACAAATAAAGAAACCATAGGCTATCAGCAGACTTCTCAGCAGAAACCTTCCAGACCAGGAGGAAGTGGGATAATCAAAGTGCTGTAAGAAAAAGCTTGCCAACCCATTCACAATTTAAAATAATTTCTAATTTTCAATAAAGTATCAAGCACCTCAGAATAAGAAATTACTCCAAGTGCATGCTGAGGGCTCCTACTATCAAAACTTAATCTCCTTCTCACAGGGGAAATGGAGAGGTTAATAAATCTCAAAGCCATACATACACATAAACTTCAAGGAAGCCTTGGGGAGGCTAAGATGGTGAGTTTCCATGGTAGAGGAGAGGAGTGTGCTAAAGAAGTTCTGAGGTTTGGAAACTGATAATACATGTAAGTTGTGACTTTAAAAGAATCATTAACTGTAGAGTATTTTTAGTACCTTTCTTCCAGCAATAGTCACCTGTTTTGACTCTTAAGCTCCTCTCCCATTCTTAGTACATGCATTTTGGATGGAACCAAGACTCCGTGGGAAAGCACATGCCCCTAGACTACACCAAACATCACATTGCACTCCGTTAGCCTCAGAGAACTGTTTGCATGCAGTCTAAGTCTTGGGACTTTTCTGGGAGCTAAAGAAATGATGCTCTCTGCTTCTAAGGGATTTCAGCCTGAAAGGATGCTATAGTCGCTTTTGCTTCCACACAGGAAGACCTGTCTGCGTATGGAGACAACAGATAGGAAGCAGGTCCCAGAGACAAGAAGAGAGAAGCTAGATCCTGATTGTACTGTTTGAGTTTCTCCATCCACTTGTGTTTGAAAACAGAGCTCCTAACTATGCTTTCCAGTTACATGGGCCAATAAATTTCTTTTTTGCTGAAGTCTTTCAACCAAAGGTTTTGATAATGTGACTTTCTTTTATAGCTACAAATTTCCTTTAAAGGCAATTCCAGAAGAGAAATTCAAAAACATTTTGAACCATGACATAGCCATAATTAAAATGAAATTTCCCAAAGTGATTACAGTGGAAAAGAAATTACTCATTCAGATGCATAGATTCTTACATATTTGGTAGTATGTTAGTCTTTTTTATTTTAACTCATGCTTTAGCTATTCTAAGATCAGATATTCTGTGGCCAACCGCCACTGCTGCTAGTTGAGACCATCATTACAGCAGTTACTACTGTTACTGCCTGAGACTGTCATTTGCAAGACTGAATGAAGGGATGAACACAGAAATGATAACAAAAGACAAAAGAAACTGTTTTAAGGAAAGGGTCCAGGGGAAGAAGAAGAGAGCTCTCTGCTTCTAGTGAGCAAAGGCAGCCCCTGAGCTTCTACAGCCCTTTGTATTTATTGGGTAGCAAGATCAAGGAGGAGGAGGTAACTATTGGTCAGCTGCTTAATTGATCATAGGTTCATATGATTACTAATAGGCTTCATATGTGCCTAGTCACAAGAAACACTTGTGCCTGGGTCGTGACTGCCCTCAGCATTCCTTCTGGGTGGCATACCCAGTTTGTCAGTTTGCCAACATTCTGCGTTTACGAGAACAGTTTGCTGTTTACTTATATAGCCCCCAGTGGTATACTGAGTTGATCACAACCCTCAGTCTTTCGGCCTCCAACAATATTCTTCTTGATGCAACCTGGGTCACGTGCACACCCTTGTAAAAGGGTGCTTGGGCACTGTTACCAGAAGAAAAGGATAAAATGGGTACTAGGCAGATAAAAGCAGCAGATATCCACTATAGTTACCTTTGAACAAGTGTAAACATTGGAATATAGAAAAGCATTTTGATTTTTCAGAATTTATCAGATTTTAAAATTTTTAAAAAGAGGCTTGTACCTTACATGAAGGATTTTAACTAGAACCCATAGGCTATTACAGGATGCAGGTTGTCCATAAAACCCCTGATAATAAATGCAAAATTTATGTGCATAACCATATAGGGATTTGAAGGAAGTGAATCTACAGCTTTTATTACACTCTCAGAGGGGTCCATAATGCAAGAAAGGGTTGGGAATCACTGCCTAGACTCGGAGGTGGTTTGATGACTAATAAATTCGGCCTGGCACAGTGGCTTTCATCTGTAATCTCAGCTCTTTGGGAGGCTGAAGAGGGAGGATCACTTGAGCCCAGGAGTTTGACACCAGCCTGTGCAACATAGTAAGACCCTGTCTCTGCAAAAAAATAAAATAAAAATTAACCAGGCATGGTGGTGCACGCCTCTAGTTCCAGCTACTCAGGAGGCTGGACAGGAGAATTGCTGCAGCCCAGAAGTTAGAGGTTGCAGTGAGCTATGATTGTGCCACTGTACTCCAGCCTAGGGACAGATTCAGCCTGGGGACAGAGTAAGACTGTCCCTTAAAAAAAAAAAAATCCAAGGGAAATAAATCCAATCTTTGAAATAACTAAAAATAAAACATGCACAACACACCAATAGGCCAAGTGGTTATCTCTAGAGATAACAGTTAATTTTTCTTTGTATCTTTTCTGCATTTTATCATTGTCTATAATAAGTATGAATTATGTCAGTAATATAAAAGGTTAATTTAACTTAAAAATATCTACCTATATCCCTGGGTCTACCATAAAACTCCCAGTCCTAACATAGCAATTAAGCCATTTCAAGCCATATTTAAGGCAATGGGCAGTACAAGAACATGAAGCATCAAAATTCAAAAGGCATAAAAACATGCTCCAAGTAATCAGAAAATTTTGCAGTTCTCTCTTAAACACACTAATTGCCCAAACATTCAAGATATAAAAGGAGAAAAAGTAAGTAAAACGTGAACAACCACTCCTAAATCAACCCTGCCATCAAATTCTATACTCATTCAAATGCTCCCCCAAGAGCTTTAAAACCTCAGTGGTGAATAGTGTCCTCCAATAAAGTGCATCATTTTGTTCAGTGCCAAAAGATTAATAAAACTTAATCAACATAATTACTTAAAAGTAGTCTCCATTGAGTGAGTCACGGTGGGAAAAGACTCATCTTTGTTAGTAGTAATTATCTCTGGGTAAATTATTACCTAACTATGCTCTCCCTAAGACACCTTCTTCCAGAGGGCTTTTACAGAGAAAACAATAGCATACTAGGGTTTATTTTTGGGTCACAATCCACTTGCCACAGTCTATGTCAACCTAAAATGTTTTCCTTCCTATTCTTCCTTTTTCCCAAATCCTCCTAAGATGTATTCATTTCTCTCTGCCAAATAAAAAGCAACACCAATAATGGCAGGTAGCACTAATGGAGTACTTAGCATAATATCCAGCATATAAAAATTATCTTTAGTCATCCATCATCTATTCATTGTTTTATTTACTCAACAAATATTTACTGAGTGTTCACCACTTGCCAAGCACCATACTAGGTTCTTAGTGTCTATCAGAAAGGAAAGCAGATGCAGATCCCAGTTCACATAGACTTCTCATTGCATGGGAGAGGAGCAATAAAGAATAAATGGAATAAGTAAGTAAATTATACAGTATGTAAGGAAGTGATAATAAAAAGTAAAGCAGAGTTAAGAGATTTGGAGTGCAATGGGTGGGAAGGTGGAGAGGAGTGGCAGTTAAGTGGTGCATTGTTAAATGGGGTCATCAGCATGGGCTTCATTAAGAAGGTATGATTTGAACAAATATTTGAAGATGAGGAAACTAAATAAGAAAATACATGAAGGAAGAGCATTTTACACTGAGAAAATTGTTAGTGCAAGAGCATAAATGATTTGTTCAAGGAACCCAAAGAAGTCTGCACAGATTGTGGCAGCATGAGATAGGAAGAGAGCAAAAAGTAATGAGGCCGGAGAAGTAAGGAGAGTATGGATTATGTACAACCTTGTAGGCCTTTGTAAAGGACTTTACTTTTCTGAGAGAAATGGAATCCAATGTATAGTGTTAAAAGAGTGATACAATCTGACCTACGTCTTTAAAGATCTCTCTGGCAGGCTCAAGCTTGCTGAGAAGAAAAAAACTGGAGAGGGCAATGCTGGAAACAATGTAGGTAACAAACTCAGATCAGGATGGCAGCAACAAAAGTGGTGAGAAGTGGCTGGTTTTAGGATATTCTTTCAAGCTAGAGCCACGTGGATGTAGTGTCTGAAAGAAAGAGGACAGTACAGATGACTTCAAGTGTTTTGACCTTGGAAACTAGATAGAGTTGCCATCGGTGAGATAGGGAAGGCAATGGGTAAAGGAGGTTTGAAAAGGAGGATCAAGATTTCAATTTTTGCACATATTGATTTGGAGATATCTAATAGCCATCCAAATGGAGAGGTCTAATAGGCAGGTGGATATATGGGTCTGAAGTTTGGAAGAAAGGTCTATATTAGAGATACATATTTAGGAATTAGCATATGGATAGTATTTGAAACCAAGAAGCTGACTGATAAGAGAAGGTAGAAGAAGGGAGGGGAGGAGAGAAAAGAAGAAGAGAAGAGAAGGGAGGGAAGAAAATGAAGCAGATCAAAGTCTGAGCCCTACAATGCTTCAATAATAAAAGCCCGGAGAGGAGAAAGAACCAGTAAAGAATGAGAGATGTGAGAAGAACAGAACTCAGGATGGGAGGTCTGTGAAGCATTTAATCCCTATAAGTAGCCAGATATTTCATCATTTCCATTTTACAGATGAGAGAACCGAGGCGCAGCAAAGTTATGCTGCTGAGGATCACACAGCTCTATAGCCTGGATTTTATTTAGATTTGTGTAATGCTGGAGTTCATACTCTAATCTAGAATGCTAAACTGCTACCTAACTAATCTTCAAGTCACATCTTTCCTCTAAAAATATTAGGTTTTTAATATACCTCTCAAATGCCCATTGTCAAACAGCCTATATACTTTAATGCTAAAATATTTGGATATCACTCACCATTCTCCCAGATCTTCTTTTCCCTTTCCACTCGCAATTTTTTAAAATGTGCCCTCAGTTCTTCAAGGTACATTAGATTCTCCTATAACTCTTTCCAGTCTTCCTCGTTATTATCATCTTTTGATCTTCACATCACTTCTCAAGATAACATTGAGGACTTAGAAGATGATTTAATTTGATATCTATGTGGATGACTATCCAACAGCCACTTTTCCACTGCTGGGACTTACTCAGCCTAAGCACCCAAGATGCTAGTACTTTATTCTGTAAACACAACCTCTTGGATTTCCTTGTCCCTCAAATAACCTTCTCCATCATTTCCACCAAATTTAGTGATAAACTTTTTCAAGTCCTCCAAATCCTGAACCCTCAATTTCCTTTCCTTTGGATACCTCCTTGACTTCACTTTTTTCTCCATTGAGCTGCAGCTTCCAAGACAACTCAACCTTGTAGAGATCCTGCAGTCCTACTCCTCCTGTTCTCCTACACCTCGGCTGGTAAATGGTGCTGGAGGAATCACACAACGGCCCAGATTGCTACTAGGTATAGTTTCTAAGATCAAATGCACTTCCAGTATTGCTGAGCAATATTTTTTTCATATTGTCTTTGCTCAATTTTCTCTCCCATTCCCTGAGCAGTTGTTCCAAGCCTTCATCACTCTAATCAATTCTTACCCACCCACTGCCGCCACTGCACATGCTATCCCATGCCATGTCACCAGAAAAACCTTATCTCCTCTTTATTTCAAAGAGAAAATAGAAGCCATCAGACACAAATTCCTGCTAGTTCCAAATTCCTGACCCCCAAAATTCATTCATTTGCATCTGTACTTACTCCTCCTTCCTTTCTTTCTGTCCCAGAGGAATAGATGACACTTCTGTGGTCTAAGATTAATCCCTAGGCCCATGCTCTGGATTATATCACCTCTCACCTCTTCACCAAGCCATGTTCTATTATTGATCCCATCTTTCTTCTGTGTCTTCAGGTTTTATCTTGCCCTTTGCTTTCTCCTGCAGCAAACAAACAGGCTCTAATGTGATAAGGTAAGCAAGTTTATATGGACTTTTCTTCTGATGCTCTTTGGGTCAGGAATGCCTTCTCTTCTGTCTCTCCACTGGAATCCTACTGTTCTTAACAGACTTGGCTCAAAAATTCCCTTAGCCGGAACATGTCACTCTATTTGAATTTTCATAGCATTTTTGGCACCATGTGGCATTCCTTACCACATACTGTACTATACTACAATTTGTCCTTCCTTTGTATCTTTCTTTTTGTTAGCAAACACTTTCATGTAGCACTTACAGTGTTTCAGATATTGTTCTAAATGCATTTTAAAATATTAACTCATTTAATAGCATTAACAATTACAAATATTTGCTCATTTAAGTATTTGTATATACTTTGCTGTATTATATTACAAAGTCCTTGAAGGCAAAAATCATAATGACATCTCTTGACCCCTCCAGTTATACTATCCCAGACTGGGTAGGCATTAACATAATAGGCATTTGATATGTTTTCCAAGTGTACAAATGCATGGAAATGACTTAGACATCATACAGTCTTCCTACCAATGTCAAAAATGCCATATCCTGACTAGTTCTGTAAAGTGAAAACATATCTTACATTGTCTTTTAGTTATGATTTATGGGGGGGAAATGTATACAGTCAGATTTACTTTTCAAAATCTCTCAGAAAGGTACAAAGTTGAAGTCCATTATGTTATCTTTTAGCAATTCTAGAATACCCAGTGTTCGAGTATTGGAAGAGATTTCTGTTTCATTTACTAAATGCCAAGTGAGGTAATTGGTTTGCATTTAGAGAGCGTGTTCTAAGACGATGATATATCTTTATATGCTAGAAATCACTTTCAGCTGGTGAGATACACAATGAGAGACATGTGTAAACTGGCACTGAGCTATAGAACTACAGATCTGTATTTCCTAACCCACAATCACTGACAGCATATGCTTATCAAGGAAAATGGCAAGCAGGTAGAATTGCCCAAATTGCTGGTGCAACCATGTCTCTTTGAATCTGAAGACATTAGTTTTAAGACACATAATTTTATATACTATTAAGAAGTTTTAAATGCTGTCAATTAAACTATGTCATGCCACCAGTTGTAAGAAGAATCCCAATTTTAGAAATGTTGACATGTGTTCTTAGAATCCATATGTACAGTATTAACATTTTTAACCAAACTGTAAGATTCCCAAGAACAAGAAACTTAATTCTGCTTACCCTATAGAGATTTTCATATGGTAGACAATAATTTTTGTTTAATTTAATCAAATGTAGATTAAAATCCAGTTAAAAGTTTCCCAGGGGGTTAGGGACGCTCTCTCAATCTATGAAGAGTCATAATGAATCAGTAGCTTACTTAAATAAGTTCAGAGGAAATTCCAATCAACCTGATAAGCAAATCCCTCCTTATTGGAAGTACAAAGCATAAAGTATTTTGATCCCCAAATGTAAATAAGTACCATCTCATTAAGCTAAATTTTTAAAACAGTCTGGAATGGTAAGCAAGAGTTCCACAAGAATTGTACGCAGAGCAAAGAAGGTGAACAACTGACCATATTTAGTATGTTTACTCTTTATGTAAGAAGTGCTGGGGTCAGGGAGCATTTCTGTCCCTCTCTTTGTATTTCTGCTCTTCCTACAGGGATGTCTCCTGTCTATGTTTCCACCACTGTCCACTCCCTGACTAGCTCATTTCCATTCTTCCCCCCACCACACACACACACACACACACACACACACACACACACACACACAAACACACACATTCCCCAGAATTCAACTAGGGAATGTATGCTACAGGACACTAGTCAGAGACCGAGGCAGATGCTGGATCCATTTCACAAGTGAACAGGATCACTGCAGTTAAATTAGAAATCCTAATTTGTAGGTTATGGCTGAGTGAGTCAGACTGGGTCTGCCGTGAAGGTCAACTATTAGGTGAGAAGGAATGGGAATTGGCTCTTGGGCTTCCAGGCATAAGTCTTATGCTCCAGCATTTATTAGACAGGCCCATCAGGCAACTACTCAGATGTTATTTTCTGCTTAAAATTAGTTCTCAGTGTCTGTTCTCCCGATTTTGGAAGTTCCAGGAAAGAGAGTGATAAATTACAGGATTTCAGCTATAAAATCCCACCCCAAACCCTTAAAGTGAGCCTCCTGTCTCCACCCATAGCCACCCCTACTGCTTTGGTGTTGCCCTATAGTTCTAACCATCTGGGTCTGCATCCATTTCAATTTGGTTCTCACTCCACCTCCTTTCCCCTCCCATCCATTTGTTATGCATGAGAAAACTGTAAACAATTCCCTAGGCTTATGATAACATGGGAACAGCCTTGACATTTACACACAGAAAATAAGTGAAAAACCAGCTGCATCCATCAAAGTCATTAATGACCTTAGAAAGAAACTTCATAAATGCAAGCATGGATGGATGGAAGGAAAGAAGGAAGGAAGGAAGGAAGAAAGGAAGGAAGGAAGGAAGGAAGGAAGGTAGGAAGGAAGGATAGAGATGAATTTGTGGTGAAACAAGGAATAAGATGAAGAAACTCTCAGTGGAAATATAGACATCTATTGAAAAATTAGAGAAATATTCAGAAAGTATGTCTTTATCTTCAATGGTTAAGATTTGTATCAAGCATGATTATTCTAAGTCTTAGATTTTCTTGCCAATTTTGCTATATATATAATTAACTTTATATTATCTGGTGGGATAAATGAATATAGCATCTCATATTGCTTTATAGACATAGGCAAGACTTTGCTTTTCCTAGAATCCTAGACTTATAGAGGTGGAAATAATATTAGTGACCATTACATTTACTCCAAATGTTTTATAGATGAGGAAACTAAAATCGAAAGATTGTCCATGACTTGCCTAATGCATTCAGCCGCTGGTTAAGAACCAATGCATCCAGTAAATAAGCTTTTACTAAAGAATGCCAGCCACAGAGACTGATCAGAGTTAAGAAACAGAATTAGAAAAAGAAGCTATACTCTTTTGTTATTTGTGTGAGGAGACAGTGTATTGGGAGAGAATGTAAAAAAGCACAGAACACAGACAAATGGGATGTTAGCAGGGACACTTGAAATACTGCCCAAAGAAACATTCTAGGAGACTGGGAAGCCCATGTAATTATTGTTTAATAAAAGCAGCTTGATATTTCAATATAAAAGCAAGAATGGCTGAAAAGTGAGCAAACCTCTCATTAAAAACCACTCTTAAATTCTCCTTTCTGGCTTCATCAGAATATCAAAGGAAATAACACATTTTTTTCTATAAACTATCAGATATTCTTTTACAGTCATTCTTGGTTTGTTCTGAAAGCCCTTAAGCATTCTAAGTGCCAACTTTGTCAGGTATATATCCACATTCTGCATCTTTACATGCATACATCCAAATATCTACCTAAATATACAAACTATTATTGCTATTTAGTGTTTCAAAAACTGAATAATTAGCATAGTGATGCAAATTTGAGTGCTCTTTTTTAAAAGCTGCTGTGTTTATATGGACATCTACACAAACAACATGGGCAAATCATTCAGGAAAAAAATAAATCCCTCAGATATACTCCTCTTAACAGAATCAACTTAATTTTATGTGACATTGTCCTTTCTAGAACTCCAAATTCAATGAATGCAGCAGGTCCTGATCTTGGTTTTTAACAGATGGCCTCAACAATATGACAGTAATAGCATCTGACATGTGTTGTTTCAATGATCTCTTTTACTCTTGGAAAAGTATGGAAGCCTTAGATCCCGTGTGTTCCTTCAGATTGTCATTTCTGGCATGCTCTTCTTGGCATATGTTACGATGAACCATTCATAACAAATTAAATTCTCATTAAGGCAAAAAAAAAATATTTATAATCCATAAGCCTACAATTTACCCCAGTTCCCAAGGTAACATTTTCTGTGCAAAGGGGCCAGTTCCACAAATAATCAAGTGTGGGGCTCGTTTAGACTTATTTTTTAAGAATTAGCTGTTTGCTAAAGCTAGGGGTAGGGAGGATGGATGCAGAATGGGGAGGTCTGGAATCTCAGAAATGGAAAAGAGAAGAGATGCCTGAAAGATCCGTGGCCTTGCTCTCAAAGCATTTTGCAGGGACACAATAATCATGGGTTCCCAGGAAATACATCAAAAGAGTCTAAGCCACATGATGCCACTTGAATGGAGCCACATGGGCTGGATACAAAGACCAGCTGGAGCAGGCAGAATTCCTGCACCTTTAAGGTAGAGTTTTTGCACTGATTGTAGCTGTAATTAACAGCTTCCTCTAACTGCAATGGAATTTTCCTGAAGGACTCAGTGGTTTTACTCACTGGCAGGTTTCGTAAAATGGGATTTCAGGCAGCATAGAGCTTTCAACCCAAAGTAGCTAAATCTAGTTAAAGCAGAAATATCAATGATTTTCAGTGAGTGCACGTCATAGAAATGTCTGAGCATCATAAACCACTGCTGATTGCTTCTTTCAGAAGCAACTGCAACTAAATGGGGACCAGAGAAGATGAGAAAGCTAGCCTAGGCCTCTCTCTTCCTGAGCTTGCACTTAAATCCCATATAATTTTTTTCCTAAAATAACGTATTCAAGCCTACTTAGTAACTGGTAGACTACTTTATTTTCAATGTACACTAAAAATACTAGCTAACAATTGGGAAAGAATTTGAATTGAATTCTTTACCTTGCCTCACCCTTAGTATAACCTTTTCCTCAGTGATATTTCAGAACCTGCATCAGAGAGAATCTCTTCCTACGTGAACTTTTGTCTATAAAGGTACTGCATTAGACTCTTCTCATTATTTTCTTTCTACTGCAAATGAAGTTCAACTATTCACAAAGATGATATAAAAAGGTGTACATTGAAGTCCAAAATAGTACAAAATAAACAGATTTACAGTAGAATATTTTATTATAAGGAGCTTTAAAAATTACCTATGCTTGTGAAATAAACACCTTATAGGAACCAAAGGAGAAAATAAAACTGAAAAAATAAACTAACAAATAAATCAAGGGAATATAATGAAAAATAGGAGTTTGGCAAGAGTTTGCTCTGCTTGACCAATTACTAAAAAGAAGAGAAAGGAGGCTGAAAAAGCCAGTAAAAAGTGGCAGTAATAAGACAATCACTCCATTGCTGAGCAGCTGCACAATATTGAACTAGAGAGAGAAGTACCAAGAAATGTATGTGCATAAGATTCAGCTCTTCAACTCACAGAAATGAGGGTTTGTGAAAGAAAGAGGCGATGAGAGCATCTGAGGGAATCAAAGGAAGTACACATTTGAGACGGGAGCATCTGTGATGGAGAGAGCACCACCCCCTGGACCAGCAGGTTGTGCAAGGGCTGGGAATGTGTTAGGAGAAACTGTCCTGGAGACTCTGTAACACTCTAGCCTTCAGTTGCTTAAATCCCTTGGAAGCAGTCAAACTCCCTTGGACAAAGTCCAAAATGAAATTGCCTTTTGGCCAAGTCTGATCTAAAGTAAATGCTCTATAGCAAATTTTCACTGTGTTAACCTGAAAATATATGTGAAAAATGGTATGGCATTACCTCCTCAGAAGATTGATTTTGTATTAGATATTTTCAATAACAGGCAAATTATTCTAAACAGAATAATTCTTCTTTCTTGAAGTCAATCTGAGTACAAAATTCTGATAGGCCTTCTAAAATATTGAAGCCTTGGTAAAGTGAATAAATCAATATTTTTCCCAAAAGAACCAATTTAATACTGGAAACAAAGAATATCTCAACAAGTTTATAAAGGCAGAATTTGAATAAACTCCATTTTCTAATCACAGTGCAATTAAAAGAAGTCAATAACAAAGCCAGAACCTCTTAGATATCTAAAAATATTCCACTAAACAAAGTTGGGTTGAAAAGGAAATAAAAAATGCAACAGATTCTTGGGGGACAAGCCACCAAAAAATAAAAATCACAATCTTTATGGGGTCAAAACAGAAATACTACCAATTTTAAAAGAAAAAATTAGTGAATTAAACATTCAAAGTAAGAGATTCAAGAAAGAACTTGCCCAAAATCCTATCTGAAACTTACTACTTTTCTCTTTTCACCATCTCAGTAGATGGCACCAGCACCTATCCAATTGCTTTGGCCTGAAATTTGTGTGATGTCCTTGATTCTATCCTTTCCTTTTAACTCTAAAATGAACTCCAATTCTTCTACCTTCATTGTCACCTCCATATTCCAAAGCCCATCATCTCAATTGGACCATGGCAATTACCTTCTCATTGTCTTCCACTCTTGCTCTCCAAAGAAGCCACTTTCCACCCTGTGGCAAGGAGGTTCTTGTGGACATGTTAATTAGATCACATCACTCCTGCTAAGACTATTCAATTATTTCCCACTGCACATATATGAAAATCTAAATTTTTCACCAATATCTTACCTGAAAGACTGGGACCTATAAACAGAATTTGGTCCACAGACATGTTTCATTTGCCCTAATAATGTGTTTTAAAAGATTGTTAATTTATTGCCAATATTTGAAAAATCGCACATTAAAAATGACAATTTCTGGATTTTCTTAAAATTTTGAAAAATCTGCCTACACCGTCCCTATGTTATCATATGGTGATAAATAACTACAGTCCCTACCACCTCATATTGGCTCTAGACCCTAGTCTGGGTATCAATAGTTCTTTTTACTCCCAGCTTTCTCAAGGTATAATTAAAAAATATGAAACTGTATATATTTGTGGTGTACAATGAATGTTTTGATATGTGTACATTGTGAAATAATTAAATCAAATTAACATATCTATCATTTCATATATTTATCTTTTTTATAATGAGGACGTTTCAGATCTACTGTCTTAGGAATTTTCAAGTAGACAGTACATTACTATTAACTATAGTCACCATGATGTACAAATCATTTTCAGAACTTATTTATCTTATCTAGAGTAAAACTTTATAACCTTTAACCAACATCTCAACATCTCCTCATTCCCTCCCCATCAATAATTCTTTTTTTGTTTTTGTTTTTGTTTTTTTGAGATGGAGCCTCACTCTGTCGCCCAGGCTGCAGTGCAGTGGCACACCTCCCAAGTAGCTGGGATTACAGGCATGTACCACCATGCCCAGCTAATTTTTGTATTTTTAGTAGAGACGGGGTTTCACCATGTTGGCCAGGCTGGTCTCAAACTCCTAACCTCAAATGATCCACCCGCCTCGGCCTCCCAAAGTGCTGGGATTACAGGCATGAGCCACCGCGCCTGGCCAATAATTCTTTATCAAGTGTGCACAATCTATTTTTCATGCCATAGTCATTAATATTTTTCCATATATAAGTATATTTATTTGCTTATTTTTAAATTTTATTTATTTATTTATTTATTTATTTATTTTTGAGGCAGTGTCTCACTCTGTCACCCAGACTAGAGTGCAGTGGCGCAGTCATAGCTAACTGCCATCTTGATCTCTAGGCTCAAGCTATCCTCCTGCCTCAGCCTCCCAAGTAGCTGGGACTACAGGTGCATACCATCACACCTGGCTAATTTCTTTTCTACTTTTAAATACGTTTTTTTAAAAGCCTTGCTATGTTGCCAAAACTGGTCTTGAACTCCTGAACTCAAGCAACCCTCCTGCCTTGGCCTCCCAAAATATTGAGATTACAGGTGTGAGCCACAGCACCTGGCCTACTTCACTTTATAAATTGAAATCTAGACTGAGAGAACCACATGTTTCTTACCTCTGGGGCATTTTGTTAGGTTATAATACTTGTCCCAACACTGGACTGAAATGGAATGTCTGCACATTTTTCAATATTATATCAAACAGACACTTTCAAATTTTCAAATGTTTAAGAGCATTTGAATATTTGTCAACACATAGAAAAATTCTGAATGATAAAAATTTTCATGTTTCAGCTTGGAAAATTAATGCAAGGAAGGAAGGAAGGAAAGAAGGAAGGAAGGAAGGAAGGAAGGAAGGAAGGAAGGAAGGAAGGAAGGAAAAGAAGTAGACCTTCAGTGAGGAGGGAGAAACAAATGACCATTTGTGAAGCACTTTTATGTGCCTGGAACTGTGCATGGCATAATGGGATACCAAAATCAACGTATAAAATGTATAAAATAAAGTTCCTCAGGCAACCTACAGAATGGGAGAAAATTTTTGCAATCTACCCATCTGACAAAGGACTAATATCCAGAATCTACAAAGAACTTAAACAAATATACAAGAAAAAATCAAACAACCCAATCAAAAAGTGGGTGAAGGATATGAACAGACACTTCTCAAAAGAAGACATTTATGCAGCCAACAGACACATGAAAAAATGCTCATCATCACTGGTCATCAGAGAAATGTAAATCAAAACCACAATAAGATACCATCTCACACCAGTTAGAATGGTGATCATTAAAAAGTCAGGAAACAACAGGTGCTGGAGAGGATGTGGAGAAACAGAAACACTTTTACACTGTTGGTGGGACTGTAAACTAGTTCAACCATTGTGAAAGACAATGTGGCGATTCCTCAAGGATCTAGAACTAGAAATACCATTTGACCTAGCAATCCCATTACTGGGCATATACCCAAAGGATTATATATCATGCTACTATAAAGACACATGCACACGTATGTTTATTGCGGCACTATTCACAATAGCAAAGACTTGGAACCAACCCAAATGTCCATCAATGATAGACTGGTTTAAGAAAATGTGGCACATATACACCATGGAATACTATGCAGCCATAAAAAAGGATGAGTTCATGTCCTTTGTAGGGACATGGATGAAGCCGGAAACCATCATTCTGAGCAAACTATCACAAGGACAGAAAACCAAACACCGCATGTTCTCATTCATAGGTGGTAATTGAACAGTGAGAACACTTGGACACAGGGTGAGGAACAGCACACATGGGGCCTGTCATTGGGTGGGGGAAGGGGGGAGGGATAGCATTAAGAGGAATACCTAATGTAAATGACGAGTTAATGGGTGCAGCACACCAACATGGCACATGGCACAGGTTGTTACATATGTAACAAACCTGCACACTGAGCACATGTACCCTAGAACTTAAGGTATAATAATAAAAAAAAAAGAATGTACTCATGTAACTGAATACCACCTGTTCCCCAAAAACCTATAGAACAAAAAATGGCCTATTAGGGAAAAAAAGAAAATAGTAGGACGTATTACTGAGTTCTGTTATCATGTGGCCTTTTTAAATACGATCGCGATTTTTTCTAATAAAAATAAATAAATAAAATAAAAAATAAAATAAAATAAAAGTTCCTATAGAGGCTGAAAATTGTGCCAAATAGGATATGTGGAACAACTAGAAAATAATTAATAGCCATATTCTGTAGATAACTACAATAATAACTCAAGAAAAAAAAGATCAGGGAAAGCTGACAAGATCAAGGAAAAGTTAAGATTAGAAAAGGGACTTGAAAGTGAAATAACATCTCAATAAATGCAGACATTTCTGACAAGGAATGCAGAATGAGCACTAGCAGGAAGGAAAAAAGGAGCAACGCATATAGCAAGATATATAGAGAGAAGACTCATTTGACTAACATGAAGATGATTAACACAATATAACTATGACAATGGCATCTTCTCTATATATTATGTACATATCAATATGTGTTTATTTGCATTTCTACATTTAGGTGCTGGGGATAAAAATAGCTTGCCATCCACAGATTTCAAACTCCTGGGGGATGGAGATATTATCCATGACACGCATCTGACTCATTTATAGCATCTTTCAAAATCTCCCTAGACACAAAGCAAAAAGAAACGGTAATAACAACACGTTGTCTTTAGATAGTATTCTTTGTGAAATAATTGGAAGAATCTTACAACAGAAATTACATGTATTCTTATGTCTCTATAAGGTAAGTAGATAAAAAGCTTTTATCTGCAATTCAGACAGGATGAATAAAGGTGTTAAGTGACTTGTCCATGCTGTGTTTCTGGCTAAATTTCAGGTGACTCTCTATAATTATTTAGCGTTTCAGGTGGCTTTGGAAATTTCTCCTCTTCTATCCCTGCAGAGTGCTTCCATTGTCTTCCCCATTCCTGCCGCAGGGCTAATAGGTCTCTGATAGTAGGCTGCAAGGGTGTCATTAGCCTCTCTCTACTCCATCAGCTCACTTCTCACCAGAAAGAGCTTCAGAACAGTTGGCTAGAAGTTTCCTATTTGGGTTTTTTTTCCTATTTTTCTTTTTTTTACTTTAGCTTGCTCTGGTTTTCCTAAACTGAGGCTGTACATAGAACAATTCAGCTGGAACCCTATAATACAATTGGATCCATTCAACCATTTCTCTGTGTTTGAGGCCATTTCAGGCACAAATCAGATTTTCAACAACCTTCAGACACAGGAACCCAATGCTTACAGTGTAAATAATCAGTTAATCCATGTTTTTAGCTCAAGTGAGATAGGAGAGATATTGAAATCTTAGATCCTCTCCTTTTCAGTCAATACATGTAAGTACAATTAGTCCTTTCTGTTGTGTTGTATATGGAATAAACCTAGAAGTCGAGGAGGCTTAATTACAGAGCCCACTGTGCCATAACTTGGTATGCAATGAAGTACAACGAGCACAGGGCTTTAAAACAGTACAGATTTCAGCAAACGTATTGACTGGGCTGTGTGACACAGAGGAAGTTACTTAACTTCTCTGATCCATCTGTAAGAAAAATAGTAACTATTTCATTCACAGGGTGGTTAGGAGGATCAGACAGATTAGCTTATTAAAAGCAACCAGTGGTGTTTCATACAGGTGGTATATATTCAATAATATTAGGAATTGAGTTAGATGAGTTTTAAGGTCCCTTCTGGTACTAACATTTTATGTTGCTATTATTTTTTCCTAGGTACTATAAATTGTATAGCAGTCTGGTTCCCTCTCCTAGCCTGCAAGCTGTACAGCTGCAAACACTTAACTCCCACCTGTAGGCTCAAAATAGCTTCAGGCTCTGAGACTCTTACGACCAAACCTCCGCATTGTACCCCACTTTCAAGAACTAAGTCGCTGCCTTATTTTCTCCCTTGTACTCTCTTTCTCTGAGACTTTAATTCAATCTTTTTCCTCCAACTCTCTCATGATGTGAAGGCCGGTCCCTGAACCCTATTATCATGGCATGGTCAGAACTACATGCTATAAGGACTCCCCGCACTGACCACCTGCCGGCTTGGACACTCACTGCCTGCCTGCTGCCAGTTTGAGAGCCCTAACCCACTAGCCAGGACACCTGTCTACAGACCACTGCCAGGCCTCCCAGATACCAGCTAGCCCCCTGCCGGCTTACCTCACAGTGCGCCTATGTGAAAGCCCCGCCCTGCTCTCTCCTGCCCAGCTGAAGCCAATCCTACTTATAGATCCTGGACAATCAGCCCAAACCTAGGCCTGCCATGGGCATGGCCACTGACACAAGCACAAGGATCTAATACTGCTTCTTAGTTCTGCAAAGAATTCATGCTCCTTATACATTTGAGATAAACTATCTTAAGCTCTGTATTTAATCTACGTTGTAGCCTATTTTTTATCTAATTTTTTCGTTTCCTGAATTTGCATTTTTGTTGTGGTAAAACATTATACAAAAAAGTGCACAAAACATAACTGCATAGCTTAATGGATTATCACAAATCAAACATACCCATGTAATCAACACCAACAAGCCTCGCTGTGTCCTCACATGGTAGAAAGACAGCTCTGGTGTCTCTTCCTCTTCTCATAAGGCACCAGACTTATCGGATTAGCGCCCTACCCTTATGACCTCACTTAGGCTTAATTACTTCCTGCAGGTCCTATTTCCAAATACAGTCACACTGCAAGTTAGGGCTTCAGTTGGGAATTCTGGAGGCACCCAGTTCATTCCACAGCAGCTGTAAAAATACATTTAAAAAAAAACTAATGTTTATTTTGTGGTTATATATGCCATTACTTTACCCACAATATCTCATTTAATGCCCCAACATCCTATCAGGTAACTACTATTATTGTCTACATTTTATGCATAAGAAACAGAACCCAGGAAAAGGTTAAATAATGAAAATCAGAACATGCCTTCCTCCTGATTAAAATTCTCCAATGGCTTCCTATTCATCTTAACATTAGATCCAAACTCTTTACCATAATATACCAGGCCTTCCTCATCTGGCCCTATCTGCCTTTTTGTTCTCATCACCCACCATTTCCCCTTCACACACTGCATTCCAGCTGCACGAGGCCTCTTCCTGTCCCTCCCCACCAAGGCTATTACCCTCTCAGGGCTTTGGCACATACAGTTCTCTCTATCTGGAATGTTCTCACAGATCCTTGCATGTTCAACTGTTCGTGATTTAAGTCCTAAATGAAATACATCTTCTCGGACCTGGCCACACTATCTATCTGCCCCTCCCAATTACCTTCCAAAATAATAGTCTATTTTTACACTCCTTATAAAACCATTTTAAATTATGTTCTTTTTAATTATCATTTCATGTTTTATTTCATTCCATTTTTGGTAGTCAACATGTGATATTAGAATGTCAGTTATAAGGATAAAGAACTTGTCTTTCTTCTTTACCTCTTTAGCTCCAATGCCTAAAACTTAGCATATAATGGCACCAAGTTACATTGAATAAATGCATGAATAGATGAATGAATGAATGATTTGTCCACAGTCACACAGTTAAGTAAATGGCAGATCATAGATTCTAAAACCATTCATTCTTATTTCAAACTCCACAAAGAAATGCCTGAAAGAATTTATTTCAAAATTATATGTCAAAATTAAAATCAAGGAATAGATTAATTTTTGGAAGGATCTGATTCAATAATAATTATAGCTACCATTTAAGAAGGGCCTACCCTGTACTATGTACTCTGCTAAGTGCTTTCTAAGCACTGTCTACTTAATCCTCAAAACCACTCTATAAAGTAGCTGTTATTATCCTCATTTTGCACAGGAAATTGAAGTTCATAGAGGTTAAGTAATTTATCCATGTCACGCCTAACAGGAGACTGAACTAAGATGGAACCCAGGTCCATCTGTCTCCAGAATTTGAGCTATCACACTCCAGACCATAAAAATTGAGTCTGTTTTAAAATAATGTCATATCAACAATATATATTTCCTGATCTAAATATGTATTTACTTGGTGCTTTAAAAATAAACTGTAAACAATTTGTGTCCAAAAATCATATGTAAATTTTATTATCACTCCTGACATTATTCTGGTCTTCAATTATTTTTCCCACTAGAGAAACAAAATATTATTTGATGGTGAAATTTTCTCAGCACTAAAATCTAATATGTTATATAGAAGAGCACTTCTACTAGTTAGAAATTATAGATGGCAGATGTCCAGTGCTAATTCATTGCCTTTTAAATGAAATAGCAAAAACATCTTTGAAGGGACATTTACACCACCTAAGTCACCTTCCAAAGTGTGGTGTGTTGGCGATTACTAACCAGCACAAACTGCCGAGGTTAATGAATAATGCTAATCTGAATCAATCTGCATAAACTCCATCTACTCATATTTTTTTCTCTAGTTTTCTCTTGAGATGGCTATTTACAAGCTAAAGTAGAAATTAGAGACTTACAAAGAGATATCAGACACCTATACTATTAAAACATCTGTGGATACAGAATACTCACTTGGACATGGGAGAAACAGATGATAAAGTCTCTTGACTGTTTCTTATCCAAGTGGTCTGTCTCCAACAGGCCTGGAAAACCAGCCTTTGACGAAGCATTTGAGTTATTACCTGTTAGATAAAGAATTCTACAAGGGAAAAGAAAAAAAAAAAAAAACAATCTGCCTAAGAAATCTAGAAATAATGACAAGAGAACAAGTTGGTATGAGTTGCTAAACTGGATAATATTCTGAAGCAAGTAAATGGAGTAAAGTCTAAACACTGCCACTAAAAAAAAGAGAAGGGAGGTATTAGAAGCTTCCTACCAACAGCCTAGAAGAACATATCCTTATTGCAGATCCAGCTTATAAACCCAGTGCACCATATTTCATGAACATCAGAACATCAGGTACCACCAAATGGATTTTTCATCACATACTTAAATTTTTCTAAATAAAAATGAATGTATATCATTCTCTCCGGTGCTTTCATGTCTCTAAACTGCTGGTGACAGAAGGATCAAGTTTAGTGATGTAAAAATTCTTTAAGTTCTCTGGAATGGATCTATAGGCCAGATCTAAATATCTCCTTATTAAAATCCACCTTTATCAAAGATATGAGAATGACTATGGAAAATGTTTCCCAATTCTACCCTTCATTTGTACTTCTTGGCTGTCTTCCTAGATGAATAAACCTGTTTCCCAGCCTCCAGTCAATTCCCCAAAGCTATCCATCATGCCTATGCCTGTTAAAGGAGTGTATTTTCCTCTTAAACTCAAGTATAAAGATATTTCTTGCCTGCCTAAAACCCCTACTAATGCCTGTTTCCTACAGAATAAAGTTCAGATTCTCCAGACTTGCCCTTCAGGCCATCTGCAATTTGGCAGTTTTCCAACTCTCCAAACATGTGTTCAGTAGGCACAACTGTGTTTCCATCACACAATTATGCTCAGTTCCCCAAGGGAAGTTAGAGCTACTTATTTCTAGGCCAGCATTTCTCAAACGCCTTTGCTTCAATGGGCTTCCCAGAAATCTTTTAGGAAAGAATGCTCTGGCCTTTGTTCAGGCAGTTCCCTCTGCCTGGGATATGCTCTTTTTCCACATGTTCAAAGTCCCAGCCTTCTGTGGAAGTCCACATCAAAGTCTCTGGCAGCAAATAAATCCCTCTCTCCCTCACTCTTACAGATCACGTGGAAGCTTTCTTTTATCACTTTATATACTAATATAAGCACCAATATGTACCAATATAAGCACAAGCTTTACAGTTAACAAAGTAACTTTCACATATATTTCACATAAAACACAATGCTTTATAGTTTACAAAATAATTTTCACATATATCGTCTCTTTAAATGATTACAAATGTCCTGTGTTTTTGGCAGTATTTTCTTGGAGAGAGAGGGAGGCATTTTTCAGGACTTCAGACCAGTTACTTCTATCTGAACATCAGTTTTATTTGTAAAATAGAAATACTAATGATACGGTTTGGCTCTGTGTTCCCACCCAAATGTCACCTTGAATTATAATAATCCCCAAGTGTGGTGGGAGGGACCCAGTGGGAGGTAATTGAATCATGGGGGCATGTTTTTCCCATGCTGTTCTCATGATAGTGAATAAGCATCACGAGATCTGATGGTTTTATAAAGGGAGTTCCCCTGCACATGCTTTCTTGCCTGCTGCCATGTAAGATGTGCCTCTGCTCCTCCTTCACCTTCCACCATGATTGTGAAGCCTCCCCAGCCATGTGGAACTGTAAGTCCATTAAACCTCTTTCCTTTATAAATTACCCAGTCTCATGTATGTCTTTATTAGCAGCATGAGAATGGACTAATACAGTGAATTGGTACCAGTAGAGTGAGGTGTTGCTGTAAAGATACCTGAAAATGTGGAAGCGACTTTGGAACTGGGTAACAGGCAGAGGTTGGAACAGTTTGGAGGGCTCAGAAGACAGGAAAATGTGGGGAAGTTTGGAACTTGCTAGAGACTTGTTGAATGGTTTTGACCAAAATGCTGATTAGTGATATGGACAATGAGGTGGTCTCAGATGGAGAAGAGGAATTTGTTGGGAACTAGAGCAAAGGTGACTAGTGTTATGTTCTAGCAAAGAGATTGGAGGCATTTTGCTCCTGCCCTAGAGATTTGTGGGACTTTGAACTTGAGAGAGATGATTTAGGCCATCTGGTGAAAGAAATTTCTAAGTAGTAAAGTGTTCAAGAGGTGCTGTTAAAAGCATTCAGTTTGATGTATTCACAAAGATATGGGTTTGGAATTGGAACTTATGTTTAAAAGGAAAGCAGAGCATAAAAGTTTGGAAAATTTGTAGACTGACAATGCCACAGAAAAGAAAAATCCATTTTCTGAGGAGAAATTCAAGCGGGCTGCAGAAATTTGCACAAGTCACGAGGAGCCAAATGTTAATCACCAGGACAGTGGAGAAAATGTCTCCAGGGCATGTCAGAGGACTTTGTTGCAGCTCCTCCCATCACAGGCCTGGAGGTCTAGGAGGAAAAAATGGTTTCAAGGGCCAGGCCCAGGGTCCCTCTGCTCTGTGCAGCACAGGGACTTGGTGCCCTGCATCCCAGCTGCTCCAGCCATGGCTAAAAGGGGCCAAGGCACAGCTCAGGCCATGGCTTCAGAAAGTGTAAGCCCAAGCCTTGGCAGCTTCCACATGGTGTTGAACTTGCAGGTGCACAGAAGTCAAGAATTGAGGTTTGGGAACCTCTGTCTAGATTTCAGAGGATGTATGGAAACACCTGGATGTCCAGGCAGACGTTTGCTGCAGTGATGGGGCTCTCATGGAGAACCTCTGCTAGGGCAGTGCGGAAGGGAAATGTGTGGTTGGAGCCCGCACACAGAGTCCTCACTGGGGCACTGTCTAGTGGAGCTGTGAGAAGAGGGCCACGATTCTCCAGACCCCAGAAAGGTAGATTCACCAACAGCTTAGACTGTGCACCTGGAAAAGCCACAAACACTCAATACCAGCCCAGGAAAGCAGCCTGGAGGGGAGCTGTACCCTGAAAAGCCATAAGGGTGAAGCTGCCGAAGGCCATGAGAGCCCACCTCTTGCATCAGTGTGACCTGGATGTGAGACATGCAGTCAAAGGAGTTCATCTTGGAGCTTTAAGATTTGGCTGCCCTGCTGGATTTCAGACTTTCATGGGGCCTGCAGTCCCTTCATTTTGGTCAATTTCTCCCATTTGGAACAGGTATATTTACCCATTGCCTGGACCCCCACTGTATCTAGACAGTAACTAACCTGCTTTTGATTTTACAGGCTCTTAGGTGGAAGAAACTTGCCTTGTCTCAGATGAGACTTTTTGGACTGTAGACTTTTGAGTTAATGCTGAAATGAGTTAAGACTTTGAGAGACTCTTGGGAAGGTGTTATTAGTTTTGAAATGTGAGAACATGAGATTTGGGAGGGACAAGGGGCAGAATAATATGGTTTGACTGTGTCCCCACCCAAATCTCATCTTGAATTGTAGCTCCCTCAATTCCCATGTGCCATGGGAGGGACCCAGTGGGAGGTAATTGAATCATGGGAGCAGGGGGTCTTTCCACTGCTGTTCTCATGATAGTGAATAAGTCTCATGAGATCTGATGGTTTTACAAAGGGGAGTTTCCTACACAAGCTCTCATTTTTTCTCTTGTCTTTTGCCATGTAAGATGTGTCTTTCGCCTTCTGCCATGATTGCAAGGTCTCCCTAGCCACATGGAACTGTGAGTCCATTAAACCTTTTTCTTTATAAATTACCTGCTCTCAGGTATGTCTTTATCAGCAGTGTGCAAATTTACTAATATAATTGGGAAAGCATGATTGGTTTTGAAATGTGAGGACATGAGATTTGGGAGGGCCTAGGGGTAAAATGACATGGTTTGGATCTGTGTCCCCATCTAAGTATCACCTTGAATTATAATAATCCCCACGTGTGGTGGGAGAGACTGGTGTGAGGTAATTGAATCGTGGGGATGGGCTTTATCAGTGCTATTCTTGTGATAGTGAATAAGCCTCATGAGATCTGATGGTTTCATAAAGGAAATTCCCCTGCACATACCCTTTTGCCTGATGCCATGTAAGACATCCCTTTGCTCTTTCTTCACCTTCCACTGTGACAGTGAGGCCTCCCCAGCCATGTGGAACTGTGAGTCCATTAAACCTCTTTCCTTTATAAATTACCCAGTCTGGGGTATGTCTTTATTAGCAGCATGAGAATGGACTAACACAACTAATAACACACAATTAAAGAATCACTGAGAATATTGTCATTTTTACACCAAGGTATTTGTTCCCAAGGACCTTAAACCGTTCTCACACAGGGAACACAAAGTGATGGACTGTGAACAAAATCTGACCAGCACATATACTGAGTTTGGCCTGCCCAGTATGTTATAAATTTAGTCAACATTTAAAAATTAGAAGTTCACATAAAATTCAGATTAGCTCTTCAGCTTCTCTCTGTCCCCTCAAAAGAAGGAGATGGAGAAGAAAAAGGACAAGCAGAAGATGAAAAGCTGGAGGAAGAGGAGGAAGGGGAGGAAGAAGAAGGATTTACCATTCCTATATGACAATAATACTCTGGAGTTGAGTAGCTGGAGTTCCCTTTGAAGAAGTGAGTGGTCTCCAGTGTGTCATAGTCCCCATCATTCTTTATTGTTTTCCTGACATGAAAGCCAAGTGTCAGCCCCCCTCAGCCATCACACATTATTTTCTCATAGAAGAGAAATATATCTCAAAGATGTCTCTATCATAATTGGAAAACTGAAGGATAATCTAAGAGAAACTCATGTTTCAATAAAACCAAGGAATAGCACAAACTCTGTGGAAGTGAAAGTTCTTTCTACACACTTAATAGTCAAAGAAAGTGGCCTATACCTGTGCTGCTTCACTCATTTACATTACCAACCTGTTCCCTGAAAACATTTGGATTTGCAACAATTGGCCTTGATTGGAAATCCCATGAAAGAGAGTCAATATTTTGCTGTTATTGTTTGCTACCATATCTTCCATACCTGGCACAAAGTAGGTCTTCAATAAGTGTTTTTAAAAGAAACACAGTTAAATACTAGGGGAGACAAGTATTTAGAAATAATAACTGCAATTGCCTATTGGCAAGTGCTTTAAAAGAAATATATACAAAATACAATGGAAACACAAATGACTTTGCCTCCTTATCCAGCATAACATATAATAAAGGTGAGCAAACAGGCATCTATGTCTCCTTGCCCATTACTCTCCACAGCACTCCCACACTAAATGTAAGCTTTTATAGCATGAGTAAGTAAATGTTTTCTATAATGAGCCAGAGAGTAAATATTTTAGGTTTCTCAGGCAATACCATTTCTGTAGCAACTATTGAACCCTGTCATTGAAGTGCAAAAGCAGTCATAGACAATATGGAAACAAACATGGCTATGTTCCAATAAAACTATATTTACATGCAGCGAGCCATATTTGGCCCGTGGGCCATAGTTTGCTGAACATTGTTCTAGAGACTAGGAACTATTTTTATCCTCTTTGCAGTTTTTGAATTGACTTGAACCACTTGGAAAACTTTATTCTTTTGATTTTGGAGTCTGATCTTTGCACACATATCCACAAAGAGAGAGAAAGACAAGGAGAGAGGGCAGGAGACAGAGCAAGATATGGAGCAAGATAACTAACACTAACCACTTTTAGAAAAATGCTGCTGCAGAAATGGAAACAGGATGCGACATCTTTTTTATACAGCTTCTTAATGAAAACAAAAATCTTTGGATTTTCACAATTAAAGTCCTGACCTCAATACCACCAGTTGGTCTTAAAAAGATCCAAGGGAATATCAGTTTAGAAACATAAGAACTAGTGTAGAGAAAATTGACCTGATTTTTTTCTGATGTGAACTCTAGGAATGATATTTACTGAGATTATGTTGCTTCCCTAAATTATAGTTTAGTTTCTTGAGGTGGAAAAAAAATAATAACAAACACCATTTGTATATATAGATAAAAGTATTAGCATATCTAGATTCTGTTAATGGGAAGATAAAGAAGCTCTTCAGTTTAAAAAAAAAGAAAATACCTTAACATAGAAATTGTCTTTTTAGTCCTGAATGTTCTTGATGGGGCTACAAAATGACTATTCTATGATTTAAAAAAAAAAAAAATTAGGGAAAGGAGATAGGGGAAATAGAAAGAGTAAGCAATGAGGAAGAGCATAGGAGAAAAAGAGAAATAAATAATAATAAATAGAGAATAAAAGAGAAGAGGAAGAGACCAATGAGCCTGCAATAGAGAAGTGGCAGACTCTCAGTAATTTCTTCAAGGTCAGGCAGATATTTCAAAGTCATGAATGACCAAAGCCTGCTTCACTGTACTTTTAAAAATCCATTCCATAGTATTTTTACAGAAGTAAAGGTAATTGGCTTATTTCAATTCTATGAATCAAAAAATCTATTCTAAATTCCAGACCAAATATAATTAACATATTATTATCTTGGTGTGTTTGGGCCCCTCAAGATCTGTGCTGGTGTGCATTGCAACTCCATCATTTGAGATCTCTGTTGTGGGAAGAATCATACTGCATGTGCCAATGAAAGATATATATGGGCTATAAGATAGGCCAGAAATTACTAAAACTGTGTAGACTGCCATTTAACATGACTGGATTTTAGTGAGTGACTGAAAAGATGACTTTTAAAAGTGTGAAAGAAGTGTCAGCACGAACTTCAGAGAAAACTCCCATGTTCTACATTCTGAAACCAGTGTTGAACCAAGATGGTGAGAGATTAATATGTGTCTTATTTCTCCTGTCATTTTGCTTCCTGGCTCCAAGGTGGTCACCAGGTCTTTAGGTTTTCTTCTTAGAGGAGTTCATGTTGTATGGCCAAAGAAGAATTTGCCTAAAGATTATGCATTTTTCTGGATTCTTTCTTCCTAAAAGCCTAAACTCATCTGGGGAGTTATGCTAGGTCTTTGGGGTAAGAAGAAAGGAAAATAAGGTGAATATATCGAGGGAAAGCTTCTCCCAAGACTACAATAGGGACTGAGATCTGTGGCTTCTACAAGGAAGTTCTACAAAAGGAGGAGATGGCAGACTTCTGAAAGGAACAACAGCATTCTGTATGTAGGGAAACTGAACACTAAGTGCCTGGGCACCCAGCCTCACGAAGACACAGGCTGAAGCTTGAAACAAAAGTAGAAGATCCCCTCCCACTCAAGGGCTGATGTGAGCTTGGGCAGAAATCCATTTGAACCAAAAACATCAAGATCCGCCTTCCACCCATCTACCCTAAATAGCACCTTTGCCTAATCCAGAAATGGAAAAAAACTCCAGTAATTATTGAAACTGAACTTTCAGCCAATATAATGAGATGAAGGCTTGGATCAGATTAAATTTGATTTAGAGAAGTATACACATACCTTGAAGATACTGTGGGTTCTGTTCCAGATCACCTAATAAAGTAAATACTGCAATAAAACAAGTCGCATGAATGTTTTGGTTTTCCAGTACATACTTAAGTTATATTTACACTATACTGTAGTCTAGTAAGTACACACATTAATTAAAAATACTTTGTGGCTAAAAAATCATGAGCCTTCAGTGCATTGTAATCTTTTTGCTGGAGGATTGTCTTGCCTACATATTGATAGCTGATGACTGATCATTTTGGTGGTTGCTGAAGATTCAGGTGGCTGTGGCAATTTCTTAGATTAAAACAACAATGAAACTTGCCACATTGATTGACTTTTTCTTTCAGGAAATATTTCTCTGTAGCATACATTACAGTCTGATAGCATTTTACCCATAGTAAAACTTCTTTCAAAATTTAAGCCAATCCTTTCAAACCCTGCTGCTGCTTTGCCAACTAAGTTTATAAAATATTCTAAATCCTTTGTTGTTATTTCCAGCAATGTTCATAGCGCTGTCACCAGAAATAGATTCTGTCTCAAGAAACCATTTTCTTTCTCATCCATAAGAAGCAGCTCCTCATTTATTAATGTTTTATCATAAGATTGCACAAATTCAATCAAATCTTCAGGCTCTACTTCTAATTCTAATTATCCTGCTATTTCCACCACATCTGCAGTTATTTCCTCTACCAGAGTCATGAACCCCTTAAAAGTTATCCATGAGGGCTGGAATCAACTTCTTCTGTACTTCTCTTAATGTTGATATTTTGACCTCCTCCCACATATCACAAATGTTCTTAATGACATCTAGAATATTAAATCCTTTCCAGAAGGTTTTCCACTTACTTTGCCTAGATCTATCAGATAAATCACAATGTATGACAGTTATAGCCTTACAAAATGTATGTCTTAAATAATAAGACTTAAAAGTCAATATTACTTCCTGATCCATGGGCTGCAGAATGTATGTTGCATTAGCAGGCCTGAAAATTTTACTCCCCTGTACACCTCCATCAGAGCTCTTGGGCAACCAGGTACATTGTCAATGAGCAGTAGTATTTTGAAAGGAGTCTCTTCTTCTGAGCAGTAGATCTCAGTAATAGCCTTAAAATATTCAGTAAATCATACTATAAACAGGTGGACTTTTATCCAGGCTTTGTAGTTCCATTTCTAGAGCATAGGCAGAGTAGATATAGCATAATTTTTAAAGGTCCTAGGATTTTTAAAATAATCAGTGAGCATTTGCTTCAACTTAAAGTCACTGACTGCATTAGCCCCTAATAAGATTCAGCCTGTCCTTTGAATTTTTGAAGCTAGGCATTGCCTTCTTCCCCTCTCTTGTTATAAAAATCTTATATGGCTTCATCCTCTGGTAGAAGGCCATTTTGTCTACATGGAAAATCTGTTGTTTAGCCACCTTCATCAATGATCTTAACTAGATATTCTGGATATTCTGCTGCAGCTTCTATATCAGTACTTGCTGCTTCATCTTCTTTTCTCAAACATCATATACCAATCTCTCCTAGTTTTCAACTTTTCTTGTGTAGCATCCTCACCCCACTCTCCCTTCAAAAGACTGAACAGAGTTAGCATCTTGCCCTGTGTTAAGTATAGACCTACAGGTATGCTGTGGCTGATTTGATCTTCTATCCAGACCACTAAAACTTTCTCCGTACCAGCAATAAGACTGTTTTGCTCTCTTATCACTTGTTTGTTCACTGGAGTAGCACTATTAATTTCCTTTAAGATCTATTCCTTTACATTCATAACTTGGTTAACTGTTGGCATAAGAAGACTAGCTTTCAGCCTATCTCAGCTTTTGACATGCCTTCCTCAGTAAGTTTAATCATATCTAGCTTTTGATTTAAAGTGAGAGATGTGTGGCTCTTCCTTTCACTTGAACACATATAGGCCATTATAGTCATTAACTGACCCAATTTCAATATTGTTGTATCTCAGGAAACACGGAGGTCTGAAGAGAAGGAGAAGATGGGGAAATGGCCAGTCAGTAAAGCAGTCAGAACATATACAACATTGATGCATTAAGTTTGCCAACTTTTATGGGTGCAGTTCATGGCATCCTAAAACAAATACAATAGTAACATGAAAGAGTGGGGGTCACAAATCATCATAACAGATACATAACAATACAAACACTTGAAATGCTGCAAGAATTACCAAAATGTGACCTAGAGACAAAAAGCGAACTCATGCTGTTGGAAAAATAGTGCCTATAGACTTATTCAACACAAGGATGTCACAAAGCTTCAATTTGTTAAAAAAAAAAAAAAAAAAAAAAAGCAAAACGCAGTATCTGAGAAGTATAAAAAAGTGAAGTGCAAAAATCGAGGTATGCCAGTAAAAGAAATATCTTACACCTAAGTATTGGGGTGGAATAAAATTCACGGCTGCTGTAGCACTTTTTAATGAGTCACTTTAATTTTATATGGTTCAGTCACATCTCACATTAAATAAAAAGTAGAATCATTCTTAGTCTCAGCCTCCTCCACTCACAGCTCCTGAGCTACAATGTGTCAGACACTGTTCTAAGAATTTTACCTCAAACCCATGAGGGAGATATTATGTCCCCCATATTACAGATGAGGAAACTGAGGCACAGAGAGATTCATTGACTTACTAAAGTCCCACAGCTTGCGAGCAAGAGAACTGGGACTCAAAGCCAGGCAATGTGACTACAGAGGCCACATTCTTTACCAGCCAGCTGTCTCCTGGCTCTGCAGACTGGGTGCGGCATCTCGCCTTCAGACAAGTGAAGTCTAAATGATGCAGAATAAGAACTTCCTTGTGCCCTCAATGTCCTGGTGTAGCCATATGACAGCAGATGTGAAAACTCTGAACATGAAAACAAAATAAGCCTCAGTGAATAGCTGTTGATTAACTGAATGTTTTCATTGACAATCTCTAAAAGCAGAAACTTAAAACCTCTTTCTATAATAGTGCCTATCCTAGTGCTTTTACATTTTAAAAAAGGTGTGCTGAGGTCCAACCAATCCCTTTTAGCTTTCCCCTGAGGTAGAGAAAGTCTTAACAGCACTTCACACCCTGTATGCCCTCACGTGGAGGAAAATGGTTCTCCCTCCTAGGCATGTGGGTGTAGCTACAGCAAGGATTGTAACCCACCAGGAGTGGCTGGGTCAATAGGTTGTCATAGGTGGGAAGTGGAAAGGGACAGTGGATATTCACTATCTTTATGAAGCTTTACACGCCCTGTCCTCTAGCCTAAGAGGATGACCATAGTTTGCCCAATACTTGGGCTAGAAGGAAATGGGAGGTGGAATGTTGTAAAAAAAAAAAAAGATCTGATTAAAATCCCACAGCATGTTCTCAGTCTAATCTCCTTTTATCTCCGCAACCCGATTTCAGCAATTGTGTTTATCACTTAAATGCCTCCTCTTGTTCATAACTTTGATGATTCTCACATGGGCTATAGACTGCTGTTTACTCTAATTGTATTCTTATTAACATTCCCATTTTAAATGACTAAAAATAAGACTTTGACCTTCCAAAGTGAATGACTGCTTACTGCCCTTCCTTGGGGAGAAATTAACTTTGGAAATATCTGCAAAGTATGTACATGGTTATATGTCCATTCATTTTCCTTCTTATTTGCTTCTTTAAGGTGGAGTCTCCTATTTATTTTCTGGAAGAGACGTGGGGACAAAGGATCACTGGGCCCCAAAGAAAATGTGAGAAGATCATATTGACAAACTGAAAACGTTTCTGTAAGAAAACACTAAAGTCACTATTCATTCTCACAGACCCACTGATCTTTTGCTTTTATTTTAGGAATGAGATTAATTAAATACCACATGTAAAGTATTTTTCTTAATATATGCCAGCCATTAAAAATGACATCATTTAAGTTCAATTTTTTTATATAAAGAGAAATTTTCATTTGATGATTTTGGAGGAAAAAATAAATAAAACAAGATTATGCATTGCTCCCAAAAAAAAAAGAGAAAAATCCTCCTTTGGGATGTGGAACATGAAGAAGCAGCATAATGAGGATTTTGTTTCCTACACAAATTGAAGATTAAAAATGAATTTTAAAACATTTAAATTTGAATGAAAACAATCAAAGATCAAAAGAGCTATTTATAAAGGCTTGAAAAACCGAACCCAACACATCTCCTGTGCCTTTACAAATGTGCATGAGAAGTGGTATGCCAGTGCTAAATAATAATTCTGTACATTTTATTGATAATTGTCTCCAGCCTGACATACAGAAGGAAATATAATAGTTGTAGAGAATTGCAGCAATATATTTAGTTCTTTTAAACCTCTACTTCAATCACCTTTCATAAAGTAAAAGAAATGAAAGGAACTTTGTAAAATATACAAAGGAAAGTAAACTTATTGATATACACTGGGAGACCTATGCCAATTCATTTAATCCAGGCACACATAATTCTGACTGCAGACCAGCCTCTATTTTCTTGGATGAGCAGTCACTCCCTCCCATTCGAGCTTGAGAAGAATATCATGATCTCTGATCATGTCTCACTATCATTAAAACTGAGGCAATATGCCCACCTTCCCCTTGCATATGAAAGGAAAGAAAAGTAAACAATAATAACCACCTTCCTAGCACAGACTTTTTATGTCTTTTCAGAGCTCCATGAATCTTCCAAAATTAATGGCAATGGATAAGCTTCCTCAGTGATTTTGCAGGATGCTCCTGGCACATTTCTGCAAAGTAAAAAACTTACTTTGCCCTCAGTGGAGGAAAAAAGTAGGGGGGCTTAGAAAAATAAACTAGCTTGAAAATAAATGTTTAAAGCTGAAAAAATAACAGATAAAAAATCTGATCTGTTCTCAATCTTAATCATCTCAAAATCTAACGGAGAATTAAACTTACTTATTTCTACAACTGAGGTCATTTTTGCTGAAATTCCAAAAACGGTCATTTTACAAAAGGGAAAAACCACATAGATTCTGTGCCCTTCAGAGTAAATAATATGGATTAAACAAAAAGAAGAAAAAATAAAAATGAAGTTCAGGTGAAAAGAAATAATTTCAATGAATATATTCTCTACCATTTTAACAACAATGTTTCAACATCTAAATGATAAAAATATTCTAGCAAAATAATTCCTAAATCCATAGCTGACTGCAGAAAACTATAAATAATCAATAATATTTCAAAAGTTAAACATCCCTAAGACATTTACTGGTAATTATTCACACATAAGCAAATGAGTAACCTTTCTGTCCATTATAAACTAAATACTGATAAAACAGTAAAATTCATTCAATCATTCTTTCATTCAAAAAATATTTATTAGGGGACTACTATGTGCCAAGCATTCTTCGAAACACTGGAGATACAGTAGTGAACAAGATGGGGGAAAAATCTCAGATAAAAGGTGTAAGAAGAGAGTTTATACTCAAGTAAAGAAAAATAAAAAAGAACAAAAAATAAAACATATGTATATTAGATGGTGATAAGTACTATGGAGAAACAATGTAGGAAAGGATAATGGAGAATGCTGGGGATGGCAAGATTTGGGGATGAGTGAAGAGAAGCAAATTGAATAATTAAGGCCTCACTGAAAAGATAGCGTTTTTGCAAAGACCTAAGAAAGACCTAAGAGAATAAGACATGTTGCTGCCTGCAGCGAAAGCATTTCAGGTAGAAGGAACAGCAGGTTCAAAGATCCTGACACAAGGGTATGGTTGACATTTTCAAAAAAACATCAAGAGGTGCAAGAAGCCTGGAGCAACACAAGGCAGAAGAAAGTAACAATGAAATCATAGAGGTAAGGGAATAGGATTAAGATCACGGTACTTTCTTTTTTAGGCCATAGTAAGAATTTTGGCTTTTTTCCTAAGTTAGAAAGGTCCTGGAAGAGTTCAAAAAGAATGACATGATCTGACATTTTAACAGGACCACTTTGGTTACCTCGTTAAGAAATATGATCAAGAAAAAGAGATAGCAGCAGGGAAACTGGATAGAAGACTATTACGGTTATCCAGATTAGACATGATGGTGGCTGGGACCTGAGTGGAAGCAGTGAAGGTGGTGACAAGTGATCAGGAGTTGGATATATTTTGAAGGTAAAGTCCATAGGATTTACTGATTGGATGTAGTAGGGGTGGAGAGGAATGTGAGAAAGAGGAATTTACTATGACACCAAGGATTTTGGCTGAGTGTAATCAGTCAAATGATTGAATCTACTTCTTCATGTTTCCCAGCATCCATGCCCTCCCCGTGGCCTCATTGTGGGCAGCATCTGTTTTTCCATTCCGTAACTATGGACTCAAACACAAATTTAACTTTGGCGAATGACATGTGTATGAAAGTGACTGCCTGCTCATTCTGAGCCCAGGACTTAAAAGGCCTTGCACATTATTTCTTGCCCTCTTACAGTTGTTCTATCAGCATGAAAAGAATATACCCTAACCAGCTTTCATGTTCTAGGAAGATAAGAAACAGGTGTAAGAGAGCTGCTCAAGTGACTGACAGACCTGCAGTAGGAAGTAGAACTGCCTTGCCCTCTGAAGCTTGAAGCAGAGGTACCTGGCCAAACCCAGATCAGCCAAATTTAAATCAACCTCAGACACGTGAGTAATAATTAATGATTGTTGTTTTAAGCCTTTGAGGGTTGGAGTGGTTTGTTATGATGCAATAGCTAGCTGATACACTGAGCAACTTAGAGGATAAAGTTATATTTGCTAAAATAAGAAATTCTGCAGGAAGAGCAAGTTTTGGGAGAGAAAACAGGATTTTAGTCTTGGACATATTAAATTTGAGATGTTACAGGGGAGATTGAATAGGAATTGCATATACCAAGAAAGAGGTATAGGCTAAAGTATAAATGTAAGCATCATAAGAATTTAGATGGTATTTAAAGCCATGAGACTAATTAAGATCTTCTAGGAAGTGAATGTAGATAAAGAATAGATGAAATCTAAATCTTGAGACACTTCAATGTGAAGATGTTAGGAAAATGAGAAAGAACCAGCAAAAGAGACTGAGCAGGAGCAGACAAAGGTACAGGAGAAGGTCCATGCCTTACATGGCGACAGGCAAGAGGGCATGTGTAGGGGAACTCCCCTTTATAAAACCATCAGATCTTGTGAGAATTATTCACTATCACAAGAACAGCATGGGAAAACCTGTCCCCACGATTCAATTACCTCCCACCGGGTCCTTCCACAACACATGGGGATTATTACAGTCCAAGGTGAGACTTGTGTGGAGACACAGAGCCAAACCATATTAGTGGTCCACTGGACCAAATTACATACTGATAGGTCAAGTAGGATGAAGACTGAAATAGTACCATTGGATCCTGCAATGTGAAGTTCTGGTAACTTTATTAAGTTTTGCTATATAGAGGAACAGAGAAAAGGGAAAGTAGCTAGAGAGAAAAATTAGGTTTAAAAAGGAGTTTTTGATTTTTTAATAGGATTGAGAATGGCTTTTTCTATTTACTGATGAGAATGAACCAGCAGAGAAGAAAACGATGAAGAAGAGAGGGGACTAATTGATAAACCGAAGAGAAGGCAGAGTATATTGAAACTCATGCTAGAAGGCAAGCAGTGTTGAGTAAGAGCATAAGGAAAGTATCTTTTATTGCTTATACTTTTCAAATGGAACAGGAAGCAAGGTCAGCTAAGAGAGACTGAGGGAGGAGATCTGAGGATTCAATAAGAAAGGAGAAAGTATGAAATAATCAGATAGGAGAATGGAAAAATAAATGCACTACATAAAGTCAGGCTGCATAAGACCCACTTGAGGTGAGTGATCACGAATTTAAAGCGAGACCAATCACATAGTTCTGTGTTTATCTGCAATCACATTCTGTCTCATGGGTGCAGCCATAGAGTAGAGGGATAATTAGATTTATACAGGTTATGATTCTCCCAAACAAAACTTATAAAAAGGGTACATGAGGGAAGCCGAGAGCACAGGCAAGGGAATAATAATGAATGACCATGGAATTGAAGCTGGAGAGGAAGGGAAATGTGTACAAGAGGGGAGTGAGGGGAAGTGAAAGACTGCATGGAAGCACTTTTAGAGTTGTGATTACTGAAGGAAGCTTCACAGTCAGGGTGGTGATGGCAGGAAGCAGTTGTTTGAAACAGAGCTTATGGAGAGATTGCAGGTATCAACAACCACAAAGATGGGGTATAGACTTTGAGAATAAAGAACTACCTGAAGGGTGGAAGACAAGAGAGGTGGAGGAGGGGAGATGAAGAAAGTGAGAAGTCAGTGTACTGGAAAGTTCACCTTCCAATATTCGATCCAGATATTGAAATTGCCAAGATTAGGGCAGGAGTACTGTTAGAGTGCCAATGATGTAAAAGGTAAAATTTTCCAGAAACTCAAAGTAAAAGATTCTGCATTTCTGCAAAATATTTCGTACCTTAACTGAAATCATAGCAAATAGCACTCAAATTGTTCTATAAAGCATTTAATAAGGATCTTAAAAGTACAGTAGAACTCTCTTAACCCATTTCCACTCAGCCAACTTGCCAGATTATCTATCCACATGCTTCCCTTTCTCTGCAAAGCTTTTCTGTTGAAGCCCAAAGATGAGAGAAAGCCCCTGGCAAAGACTGCTCTCTGGTCTGCTCACTCGGTTCTACTCCCACCAGTTGAGTTGGATGCTTGCCAAGAGTCAGTTATGTTTGTTTCCAACACTGTTAGTGCCTCTTAAATTCAATGTTATAATTACATAATGACATAGTTTCATGAGACGTTATACAAGTCAATGATATATGAATGCAAAAATGTGGCTTCTCTGAAAACCACGTGGAATGCTAGAAAGATTTAATAAAGGTGAGTCACTAAGAAACATGCTATCAGATTAGGTGTGAGTGAGACAAACGTAAAATATTTTTAAAGAATCATAAAAACGTAGAAGGTGTCAGCACTCAGGCTGCTTTACCCATGTCTTTGGGTTATTGCTTCACTTACAAAAGCAAAACCAGAACTCACAGACAATGAATTATGGGTGTGGTTGATGCAAGAAAGATGAAGCAGAGTTCCAACCAGGGGATCCATACTAGAAATGAAGACAGTGGGTCTCCATCAAAATATTGATGAGTGAATACAAATATACATGTTTTTAAGGTAAGTAAAATCTTGAATGTGTCTTTTTAAAATAATTCCTATTTTAAGCAACTTCTTCAGTTAACTTCTTTAACCAACTACTGTCTTGATTGAATTAGATTAATGGACTTCTGATGCTACTTTAGACAAGCAAAACACAGAGATCCAGTGATTCATTCTTAAAGTAAATCCTTTATAAACATGGAAAAAACATGACTTGGTTGAACTGGACAGTGACTTTGATTTTTGTTGTTATTGGTGTAAAGTCTCATCATGTAATTATTGGAATAGGAACAATGTTACAAGAGCATCAACCACAAACTTTCCTTTAAGGCAGGCTGCTTATCAATTCCTAAATAGATGAGAATCTCTGCATTAAAGTTTCCCTTGGAATGCTTTTCTCATAATAAGAGTTTTGCTGTAGTAAATTGTAACTTTACATTCACCAGTGTAGGCTGCATGAATATGGTTAAGAAGTAGTTAAATAATTAAACTGATCTGCTCCAGTCCTGAGTGACACTTAACAATGTGACAGAGAAAACATCCTGGCGATTATGCTACTAGACAATTTGACCTAATATTTCTGCCTAAATCCAAAATACTAGATGAAACTACTATAACTAGGCAATCCACGGAACAGAGAAAGACTGTGGAGAGGACCTTAAAAATACCATTAAGGTAGGATGGAGCAGATGAGAAGTATTTAGCATGATAGAAGAGAATACCAGTCTCTTCCGAACACTAAAATAGACTGTATAGTTTTAAGAAGCAGAAGGAAACTAAAAATTTGCTGCAAATAGTGAGAAATGTCCTGTTTGAAGGAAATAACCTTCTAATGTAGAACAAGGACACCATGAAATACATGGGAAAGAATCAACAAAACTTGGATGGACCAGGAGGAAAAACTGGAACCAAAACTGTTCTCTCAGACATGTTTAGCTCAGGTTTGTACTCACTCTTTAGTAAAGGTGAATTAAAATGCTGGTCTCATTATCATCATTGATAGTTTATCATATGTAATTATACTTAAGTTAACCAGATACTAAATTCTATGTAGTTTTCATTCCATACAATTAACTCAGTCAAAATTAAAGTTCAAAATTTAAAAACCCCTCCAGATATTTTAGAAGCCATGATTGAAGACTGAGTTGTAACCCTGTTAACCACTGCAAGCAAGATTCTGATACCCATTATGGATATCATCCTTTTCAGAACAATTTAGTGATCTGTAACAGGTACTATGAATTCTTCATACGTCTTCATCAAGTGATACTACATCGAGAAATGTGGTCTGTGAACATGGAGAATAAATAAACACTTATACACAAATATTTGGAGACACCCTAAATTAACAACTTTAAAGAAATAGATAAATTATGATACATTTATATGTTACTTTTGGGTCTTCCATGGACAAGATAAATAGAAAAATGGGCAATGTATATGTGTACAGGGGAGAACATTTGTTATTTTGAGAGTTGAGCACTTTGTTCTTAACAGGATAGAAACTGTTTCCAGATAGAAGAGAAGTAGCAAGCTCATATGCCTAAAGGAAGCAGACAAGTGACATAAATGAGTGAAATGATCCCTGTATAAGAGATAACATGGAAGAGTGATAGTGGGGGCATCTGTGGCATACTGAAGAGCACTTGCCAATCTATACAGACAACCAAAACTCAGCTCCAGCTCAGTTGTATCTGAGAATGTGCACCCATTGTTGCCATTTCTTCTGATTTTTTTCTAAAGGAGCTTACCGCCTGGATTTTGCTATACTTTTTCTGTCATCATAGTCAATAGTCTAAAGGGCCATTTCATATTAACCCAAGGGATGCCAGAGGGTTTGTTTTTTGTTTTTTCTTTGCATCTGGCTTAGAGGTCAAAATAAATTAAGATCCCTTAGTGACTGTGGTTTTTGGGAACAAGGAAGCTCTCCAGAGATAGCCCGGATAGGCTAAAAATAATTTCCAAAGAATGGCTAGACAAACTATTCAGCAAAAAAGGGTGGAGGAAAAGTAGACAAATGGAAAGAGGAGAGGGAATAGGAAGTGAAGTAACACAACAGTAGGTGAAGTAAGGACTTATAAGAACATGGATTTCTAAATATCCAATTCACTAAGATTGCTGTGAACCCTCGGTAAACTATGCCATGCATATAAATACCTTGGATGATGGTATTTTGAGAAAATCAAAGGACAATAGCTATTTGCACATTCCCCTTTGTTGGTGCAGGCAAGGAAGAAAAGAATCACTCTAGGAGTTGAGAGATGAGTGAGTTTCAAGGCTTTAAGGAAATAAGAAATTGAAAAGAGAGGTACCATAAAATATGTAATATCACTTTTCTAAGAAGTGATAGAAAATATAGCTAGGGTATTGTACACCCTATAAGACAGAAATTATTGAGCGTATTAAGGTAACCCTACCTGCTATCTCAAGATATCAGTGATTTAAAGCAATAGAAATTTATTTCTATGTCATATTAGAGTTCAATGGGTGGCAAGTGACAAGGTATGAACTCTGCTCCACACAGTTATTTAAGTTCCCAGGCTGATAAAGGGTACATCACACGGGTTCCAAGGTCAACCTGGACTATCAGCTAGCTCTTGGTAGGAGAGAGAGAAAGAGTGGATAACCATGCAAGATATTTCTATGTTCAACATTCTGTTAGCCATAACTCAGTCATATATGGCCACACCTAATTGTAAGAAAGGCTAGGAATTGTGATCTAGATGTATGTCCAGGAGGAAAGGAGAACTATGTTCTCTGACTTAGCGGGGTCAAGCCAAATTTACTTAAATCTCAATGAACCAGGTAACATGTGGAGGTGGGATGGATGGATGGACGGATGGATGGATGGATGGATGGATGGAATAAAGATAAAATCCATAGACTGATGTAGGGGGAAAGAAAGATAAAAAAGAGATAATTCTCAAATATTTGTGTGTTTGTATGTGTCCAGACTTGGGAGGGGAACACATATATTCAGATACAGATGAGCACTTTGTATTACTTGCTCCTTCTTAGTCTTCTCCCGGAACCCCTGTGATGTTGCCATAGTCCACATGATCCTGTCTCCCAAGACAAGGACTGACTAAACTGGAGTAGACACCTTACCCAAACTAGTACAATCAGAGCCCCATTCAAGAGAGTTGGAACTGAGGCAGAGGAGGTGTAGCTCTGTTCTTGAACTAGGAAGTCATATCAGAGGCTGCCAGTTGTCCACCAGTCTCTTTTGTCCATAGCAACACAGTTGTGGCTGGACACATTTAAGACCAGCTAGATCTGACATTCCCAAGCCTCTCGCAGCTAGCTACAATTATCTGGTTTATTTCAAGTCAAAGGACTATGAATGGAAGTCACACATGTAACATCTGGATTGTCTCCTAAAGGTAAACCATTTCTCCTGAACTAGCGCTTTTCACCCCCTCCCATGAATTGTAACTTGGGCATGCCTTTGAACCAGCTTCATCCAGACAAACTGGGCAATGCTCTAGGGAGTGACAGAGCAAAAAAAATATGTAAGGAATCTAGATCTCAGAATAACTGCAGGGAGTAGGCCTGTCTTATCAACCTGGAGTGAGATAACTTCTTTGAGTAAACTTCTTTTGAAACCACTGCATTTTGAGGGTTCTTTGTTGCCTTTTCTGAAACCTATACAAAGGCCATGTAAAGCCAGAACTGGGGTAGCCACATGCATGGCCAAAGTTGAGAAAGCCAGTCTTCAAGAGCAGAAAATCACCAAAAGGAAATAAAGATTGGAAATACATTCTGCCTTCGAGAAATGAAGAGATAAGTTGTTACTGCTGTCAGTTCAGTTACTGGTTACATTCTTTCTTAACGTTCCTGAGTTTCATAAATATGCTTTCAATAAATGTCCATTTTTTATTAAGAGAGTTTGGATTTCCATTGCTTATAGCTCCAAAAACCTCTAAGATGGCAAGAGAGCAAGAATGAAAGCAAGAAATACACGAAAATGTCAAAAGTAGTCATGTTTATGGGGTAGATATGCAAGTGATATGATTTGACTCTGTGTACCCACTCAAATCTCATGTTGAATTATAATCCTCAATATTGGGGGAGGGACCTCATAGAAGGTGATTGGATCATGGGAGTGGATTTCTCTCTTACTGTTCTCATGATAGTGAGTTCTCATGAGATCTGGTTGTTTAAAAGTGTGTAACACTTCCCCCTTCACTCTTTCTCTCCTGCTGCCATGTGAAGATGTGCTTACTTTCCCTTTGCCCTTCTACCATGGTTGCAATTTTTCTGAGGCCTCCTAGCCATGCTTCCTGCACAGCCTGTGGAATTGTGAGTCAATTAAACCTGTTTTCTTTATAAATTGCCCAGTCTCCGGTAATTCTTTTTTTTTTTTTTTTTTTTTTTTTGAGACAGAGTCTCACTCTTTTGCCCAGGCTGGAGTGCAGTGGTGCGATCTCGGCTCACTGCAACCTCTGCCTCCTGGGTTTAAACTATTCTCGTGCCTCAGCCTCCTGAGTAGCTGGGACTACAGGCGTGTGCCCCCATGCCTGGCTAATATTTTGCATTTTTTGTAGAGACGGGGTTTCACCATGTTAACCAGGTTGGTCTCCATCTCCTGACCTCGTGATCCGCCTGCTTCAGCCTCCCGAAGTGCTGGTATTACAGGCGTGAGCCACTGCACCCAGCCATCTCAGGTAATTCTTTATAGCAGTGTGAGAACAAACTAATACAGCATGCCACTTTATTTACTTTTTAATTTTTTTTATTTATCCAACATCCTGTAATGAAAAGACATTATTTTTCTGATAGGAAAAAGATTGTGTTGAAAAAGCTTCTAATAAAACAGAGGGCAAATCAGAAAAAATAATTCTTATACAATTCTCTCTTAGCCATACTCTTTGTCTGCGTGTACCAGATATTGCATAAAGAATAATGATATTCTTTACCAAGTCTCTAGCATACGCGAGGCACTCTACTAGGAGCTTCTAATATGTTATTTCATATTTTTCGGCAGGGAACAACTTCGGCCCTGCTGGAAGCCTTGTCATTGACAAAGGGACCAAAGATGTTTACTCTCTTTTGATTCTCTCTTACAGTGGAGCACCTGGGAATCTGGTTTATCTCTGTAACCCCGGGCATACAAAAGGCAGCTGGTCGGGGAATAAGCTTTGTATTCTAGGATGGAGTGTATGAGCAGAAAGCAAGGAATTCCCTTCTTCCTGTAAATCTGTTAAGCTTGTAAATAATAGGGGATATGAAGAAGGCTTTCAAACCTAATATCACCAACCTGAAATTTTTGGCAACTCTTAGCCGGTGCCTCTATTGATCCCTTTAAAACTCTTCACTGTTTTATCTTGTTAGGAAGTGTAAGATGTAGATGAAGCAGTGTATAAAGTCTAGATGGTAGAACTATGGTTTTAGAAGATGTCTCCGTCTATTTGTGGTATGCAGAATACCAAACAGGTTCATTTCCTAATCCTCAGAACCTGTGAATATTTTTAATTACATGGCAAAAGAGAATCAAGGTAGCTGATAGAATTAAAACTGCTGATGGGACTAGGGTTTCTAATCAGCTAACCTTGAAATAGGCAGATTATCATGGATTATCCAGGTGGACCCAATGTAATCACAGGAGTCCTTATAAGTAGAAAAGGGACGCAGAAGAGTCAGAGAAGATGTGATGATGGAAGCACAGTCAGACGGAATGGATGCAATGTAAAGACCCACCTGCCATTGCTTGCTTTGAAGATGGAAAAAGGGAGCCATGAGCCAAGGAATGGTGCAGTCTTGAGTAGCTAGAAAAGGCAAGAAAACAGATTCTCTCCTGGAGCCTCCAGAAAGGAGTGCAGTCCTGTTGACATCTTAATTTAGCACAGTGAGAGTGGTGTTGGGTTTCTAACCTGTAGAACTTGGGTAATAAATTTGTGTTAATTTAAGCCACTAATTTGGGGTAATTTTTTGGCAATGATAAAAAACAATACACTACTAATGTGAGAAATCTGCCTGTAAACATGGGTAGATGAGAAAGCAAAAATTAAAAGGTGACTGAGGTAAAAGAATATCTATCTGCCTGTATGGTTCAAACAGACCTCTGGGGAGGTTTCCCAAAAGTGATTAGAGGGAGTTGCAATTAGTGATTGGGTATAGAAGGAAAGTGACTAATATAATATGAGGGGAGGACACTGAGAGATGTTCCACAGTGTTAACACACTTCCTGGCAGACTAATCAGCTCTTGAAACACCTAAAAACCTTTAATAACCATGTATGACAGAGGAGTATATAGGTTTTTGTAGTCTGGGGAAAAATCCGACCTCTATATATTGACACATAGAAACAAAATTACAAAATCATGTTAAATGAATTTTAGAAAGGAAAGTAGTCTTGCAAACTATACATCCAATTCTCATTTTATACACAAAAAGAAACTGAGGTTCAGTGAGGTATAATGGTTTGCTGATATTAGTTTATGTCACAGCTAATACACGAACTCAGTTCTCCAAATTAGTAGATTTGCCTAAAAAGTGTAGGATCTGGTTACAACTCCATAATTATTCTATTTCCTAATAAACTAAAAATAAACTGTAGGACCAAAATCATTGTCTCTGGTTAGTGAGAAAAAATAAATTAAAGCCCTGGCCAAAATGGGATATTAATGTTGGATGGGAAGAAGGAGACATGCTGAGCTTGAGAGGCACTATATGTCCTTGGGAGAAAAGCAACTTCTTCAGAGCTGTGGTAGCTAAGCACCAGGAAATTTCCAAGTAATTGTCCCAAACAGGCCCTTCATCTACCCACATTTTGTGAATGGGAGGAGTCCCTTCGAGATCCTCAAACTAGTCTTGTTCCTTCAGTGGGTATGACAGCCCAGTTGGTCTCGGCCGACCTCAGTAATAATGACCAAGGATAGTAATGATAGCTGCTAGCATTATTGAGCACTTGCTGTGTGCACTGCCACGTACAATTCCAAGTGCTTCACATGTATTATCTCACTTAATCCTTGCAGTAACCCTGAAAATTTTTATCCCCATTTCATAAGCAAGATAACTGAAGCACAGAAAGGTTTAGTAACTTGTCAACAGTTATTCAGCTACTAAGTGGTAGAGCCAGAATCTGAGCCCAGATAGCCTGACTCCAGAGCTAAGCTGTAGACAGGCTCTGGCTTCCCTCTTGCTTTAGACAATGGACTACACGGGGGCAAGAATTAGGTCTTGCTCATCTATGCAGTTTCAGTGACTGGTAACATTTCAGCACAAATAGGGCAGAATAGCACAGAGGTCAGAGACTGGACTGTGGGGGTCAGTCATTCCAGGTTTTAAAAAACGGCACCAGCACTCGGTATGACCTTGGGTAAGTTACTTACCTTCTCTCAATTTCAGATTGTTTACCTTAAAAAGGAAAAAGCATAATAAAAAGAGACATCTTTATTATTTATTATCTATCGCATCAGGCTGTTGTGAAGATTAATGCTATAACACATTTCAGGCTTAGCCTAGCATTGTATTTGATAAATAATAAACGAGACTCCATACAACAGGAAGTTATTTTTGTCATCTTTCTTTGCTTTTCAAAATTATTTTTTAAATGTTCCAAAAACCTAAATGTCTCCCAAGTCCCCTCCCAAGTATCATGAAAAGTCCATTTAAGGAAAAAAAAATTTTAAAGTTTAAAAAAACAGGATAAAGAAAAACATCATTCAAAAGAAGTTTGATTCCCTTGAAGCTTCTCCTAGGCTATAATTTGGTAAAACTAGCAGTAGCAGTGGAAAATAATTGACAAAATATACAGTTTTGTGAATGTTTATAGGAGTGTATTAAGGTAGCTAATTCACAGATGTTAATTACATGGCTGAAGACAGTTCTATCTACCAGTAGATATTCTGCTGCATAAATCTCCCTGTTCCTACAGGTACTACTTATATGATAGTAGTTTCCAGAACCTGATTTATCTTGGCCTTCCATCAAAAAAAATATTACGGAGTGAAGCACAATGCTTTGTGAACACAAAAACACGTAATACACAATTCCTATTCTCAAGGAATTTAGAGTCTACTTGGGGAGACAGAATATATCCATGCAAAATAATTAACCTAATAAGTGGCATAGAATAAATACCAACTGGAGTCCAAATGAGTTGCACTTTTTTTGAGATGAAATTTCACTCAAGTTGCCCAGGCTGGAGTGTAATGGCACGATCTCAGCTCACCACAACCTCCGCCTCCTGGGTTTAAGTGATTCTCCTGCCTCAGCCTCCCGAGTAGCTGGGATTACAGGCATGTGCCACCATGCCTGGCTAATTTTTGTATTTTTAGTAGAGATGGGGTTTCTCCATGTTGGTCAGGCTGGTCGCGAACTCCCGACCTCAGGTGATCCATCCACCTCGACCTCCCAACGTGTTGGGATTACAGGCGTGAGGCACCGTGCTTGGCCGGGTTGCACCTTCAATTGCTCATGCTAGTCACTAATGTTGGTAGCTTTTTTGTAAGAACTAATAGACATCTTTCAGGAATTGACCAGTTCAGTAGTTACTCTTTAAGAGCAAGAGAGATCAGATCCAGAAAAATGCAGAAATACATCCTACCCTCTTCTCAGAGTTTGGCTAAAATCTCAGTTTGGCTAAATCTTCTGACAGTACATGATATATTTATTTGCAGATCTGTCTCCCAGCTAGCCTGGGCATTAGTGAAGGGAAATGCCCCTATTTTGGCACATTTCCATATCACATACAGGGGCTCAATTAATAGCAGTTGAATGGAATGGATATCTGTAGTGTATTATACATAGCTAATATTGTTAAAGTTGGATATTTTCTCATATTTGATATTCTATAATTTTCCCCTTTGGTCTGGTAAACCCAGTCATAAACAGACTCAATTATTTGTTGACAGTGTGTTTTCCTAATTAAGCCCCATATAATTATGTGGCTTAAATGTAACTCTCTGTAATCAAGAAGCTGGCCCATATGGACCTAATATTTGCACAAGGCATGAATAAGGTCCAAACACACACTAGGAAAGAAATAATGCTATCCACGGCCACTCTGCTGATGACCTGTCCATCCTTCCAAGTCACGTATGCTGTTTGTTGCCTCCTCTTGGAAAGCTTTTCCCTCCCCACATCATGTCCATCCATTTCCTTCACCACATTACCTCATCATCGTCCTTAGGATTTCAGCTTATACTTCACTCCCTCAGGAAAGATTTCCCAGACAGCCTGTGATACTGCCAGAGCCAATACTTCTCCTTAACAGCAATCATTATAACTGATAAACTAACATTTTCCATTAATTTTATGATTATTTCATTACTGTCTTCTGTTTCTGATTGTAAAATCCACATATGAACATAATATGTGTGCATTTTTTTGTTCATGATTATGTTTCTATCACAATGTGTCTTGTTTATGTGTCTGTGTATATACACACACACACATATATATTCACACACACGAGACACAAACGTACATGCCCTCACATAAGACACTTTGCTCCATAATCTGTACATATGAATGAATAGGTGGTGCTCAGTAAATATTTTGAATGAATGAATTCTGCAAATTTTACCCACGAATCATAAAGGAAGAGTTGAGAGCAGGGCTGGGTCATTCCAATGATACATAAGCAGAGAAACTTTTCAACTTACCACTTATCCTGTTGTCTTACCACCCCTAGGAGACATCAGTTGTGTTTCTGTAACAACAGCACCCCAAACAGTGCTTGTACGGGCCATATTGCCAATCTGTACCTGCAAGGAACAAGGAGTATATTGTGTAGCTCATCAAGAGGAAAAGGTAGGCCAGGCATGGTGGCTCACGCCTGTAATCCCAGCACTTTGGGTGGCTGAGACAGGCAGATCACCTGAGGTCAGGAGTTCAAGAGCAGCCTGGCCAACATGGTGAAACCCCATCTCTACTAAAAATACAAAAATTAGGCGGGTGTGGCAGTGGGTCCCTGTAATCCCAGTTACTTGGGAAGCTGCAGCAGAAGAATCACTTGAACCCAGGAGTGGAGGCTGCAGTGAGCCAAGATCACGCCATTGCACTCTAGCCTGGGTGACAGAGCGAGATTCTGTCTCAAAAAAAAAAAAAAAGAAAAAAAGGCAGAGGGAAGTGGTGAGAACCCACCTACATCTTTGTGGTTCTCACCCTGTTTTGGTCAGAATATTAATTCACCTGGAAGCATAGTGCTCTTACTCCCCTACTAACCATTATCAGTTCCTAATTAGCAGACCAAATATCACCTCTTTGTCTCTGTCTCTGTGTCTCTGTGTTTTACTCTCCTTCGCTGGCTCTCTTTCTTGGTTTCCCTCTTACTCTCCAGGACATTATATGTAAAACAAATATAAGAAGACTCTGAAAGTTGGAGAAAAGACGTTAGACCATCTGGAGACCTTGGGATCTGAGGAACAACATAGCAGTGAGTTCCCTGGGTTTCCTTTCTGGCTTATATATCCCAAACTGGGTGCTGGAGAAGCCAGCAACCTAGACAGACACAACAACAGGTACAGACAAAAAAGAAAAAAAAAAAGCCCCAGCAAATGCCACTGTCTACACCCAAAGAACCAGGAAATGTGCAGCCTTCCAAGACAATACCACTTTATTGCAGCCAAAATGGCAGAAAAAACTGTGGCCCCACCCCAACTAGCGAAATCCAAAGGGGAGCCTAGACTTTCCTCCTTGCCAGGCTGTAAGGAAGCACCTCAAACCCCCTACCAGGACGATGTCAGAGAAGGATGAGTAGGGAGCTGGGACTTCTATCATCACTGAGCAGTAACTGGGGCTGTCCTCTCCCACAGTGTCAGTGAAGACCACATGGGGACATGGAAGCAGTGACAAGACCCCTCTACCCTCTCTCAGCAGTAAGAGGAGCCCCTCCCCATCCCAGGTGTCAACAGAGGCTGAGTGGGAACCTGGACTTCTACCCCCACCTGGTAGTAACAAGACAGGCTCCACCCCTTTCTTTGCCAGAGTGGTGTTGGAAGAAGCCAATAAAAACAAAAGGTGTAAATGAGACTGAGCGTCTCATAACGTGATATCCAAAATGTCTAGCTTTCCATCGAAGATCATATCAAGAGCCAGGAAAATCTCAACTTGAATGGAAAAAGACAATCAATAGATCCCAACATCAAAATGACAGAGATGGCAGAATTATCTGACAAATATTTTAAAGACAGCCATTATATAAATGTTTGAAATAAACTATTACAAACATACTTGAAACAAACAAAAAATAGAAAGTCTCAGCAGAAGTATAGAAGATATAAAGAAGAACCAGATAAAAATTTTAGAACCGAAAAATACAAAAGCCGAAACAAAAGACAACAGCAGAATAAACGAGACAGGAAGAAAATCAATGAACTTGAAGATAGAGCAGCAGAAATTAAGCAATATGAATAACAGAGAGAAAATAGACTAAAAAAATGAAAAGAACCTCAGGGACTTAGGAAACTATAACAAAAGATCTAACATTCCTGTCACTGGAGTCTTGCAAGGAGAGAAGAAAAAGGGCGGGGCTAAGAAAAGGACACAAAGAAATCATAGCTAAAAGCTTCCAAAAAAAGTGATGTAATCTTATTGGCAATTAAGAATTCAAATTGAATAATAAAATGACATTTTTATCCTTTGCTTCTCTAATTGGCAAAAAATATTTATGATTGATGACATTGCATATTAGTAGGTATATGAGAAATGAGGATTCTTACAGTTAGTGACAGTTTAAATTGATGATATGTTTTTCATTAAGTTTTTCTGAATTGTCTATTGCTATCAAAATTGTAAATGTGCACATTCCCTGATGCTGAAATTACACTTCCAGAAATAAATCTATCCCATGAAATAGCCACATATGTTCAGAAATCATATAAACTATATAAAGAATATTTATTGCAATATCATGTGTAATCATGGAAAATTACAAATAAAAACATCCATTAAAACAGAAATAGTTAATGAATTGTGACTTATTTGTACTATAGATGTGACAGAGTTGTTTAATAAATGTATGAGATTGACTTACACAATTTGATATGGAAATAACTCTAAGTTTTAAAATGCTAGTAAAGGAACACTATGTATAATATGGTCCCAAACACAAGTACACCAAGAAAGGTGTATGTTTGTGAATACAATGCATAGAAAGTGGACATAGAGATAAGACATTTTAAGAGTATCCCCAGCTCCAAGCTGTGTTTGCTTGAGCCTTTGAATAAACTGAAAAAAACAGAAAATGTCACTGTTAAAGAATGGTGTGGAAGGACTGATAGAGATTATGAGGTGATCAAAATCTCCCTAAAGCAAAGGTTGACAGTTAATTGAGTTTGACAGAGGTGGGTGACAAAGGGAAATGTTCACACTTCGTTCTCCACTCTTTTATGTCTTTGGCTCATGTCCAGTGTATTGATATATTAATTGTATGAAAAAAGAAAAGTTATGAAGATATAACCTTATGATTAAAAATGAACAATGGATAAAATAATAATAGCTCATATTTATTGGGTGTCTACAAATGTCATGTGTCAAGCATTGGGCCAAATGCTTCCCATATATTATTCTATTGACAAAAACTCTGTGGGATAGGTGGTAGGTGCCATTCTGAGTGCTTTAAATGTATCATCTCATTTAGTGTTCACAGCCACTCTATAATATCAGTACCATTATTAGTTCTCATTTCACAGAAAAAAAATAGAGCATTTAGGCCAATTACCCCTGTTAGTAGCAGAATTGAGTACTCAATTGTGTTCTTTAACCCCAGCGTCTACATCTTAGCCCCGATTTCACAGAGAAAAAAAATATCCACATATCTGCTAAGCCTAAGCAAACCTGTTTCTTCATCAATACTGGAAGAATACTGATTCTTTGATAAGCTTTAAATGTGATTCAGGAAGAAGAAAAAGAAAATTATTCTATAAACCAAAAGAGAGACATTGTTTAATTGTATGTGTGTGTGCCTCTGAAATATAGGACAACGTGATGTTGTGTTCAGACAAATCCACTGTTACATTCTCTTTGGTGTCACTTTATGTGTAACAATCATACTAAAAATAATGGATATTAAACTAATCATCTTGAGAAAACAAGTTAATTAATATTAGTGCTCAGTTATCTAATTTTCTCTGGATTGAGATAGGTAATTCTAAATGATAAACTATGATTAGTGAAACAATTTAACTCATTTAAAAAAATACTACATGTTTCAAAAAAGAGACAAGAAAACTACAAATATCTTTAAAACTCAAATGTGGTCATTTGAAGCCAACATTTTTTGTTAGGTAAAAGCTTCAACTCTGAAGCATTGAGTGAAGTTAATGAGTCAATTTCTTTCTAAGATTAAAGAAGACGTTTGACACTGTGTAGACCTCTTAAACTTCAGCCTCTGCCCTCATTTTTCTAGGTTATACAGCACAAACCATCATAACCACAAGGACACAGTATACAAGGAAAAAAGTTTTGGAAAAGTTTAAGACAGAGAAAATAAGCAGGACCAAATTTTCCCACAGTAGGTACCACAAAGCTTTCACATATATGAAATCTAGCTAGTCAAATGAGATTTAGATCTGTTGTGTCAGCCTGTTTTTCTGATAGTATCTTGATAGAAACCAGGCTGCAATAAAATCTACCTACTTCTTAAAAACAAGAAAAATACCACTCCCAGAATAAGGCAAGAATCTCTGTAGGAACACATACTCCACAAGCATGGAAGTTGTCCAGCTTTGCTCATCATTATGCCCAGTGCCCAGGGTCTCCACCAACACTTCTGGAGAGACCATGGTCTCAGTTTTGCACAGTCCATATCTCCTTAACCTTTGTTTAAGATGCTTCTCCTCAGGCTTCTGGGACCACACTTTGCTAAGCCTCCTACCTCTCTTGATGCTCCTCCTGTTTGCATCATTCCTCCTCTTCAGCCACCAATTTACTAGAAGCCTTTCCAGCCTGCATTTGAGCTGACGTCAGGGAAAGGGAGAGGGAAAGGGAGAAGGAAAGAATGGATGGGCTAAAGGTGGTTTACCTGTAATATAAGTTCACTTTACCCACTCTAAAAACTAGAATATTTGGATGAAAAGCCAGCAAATCCAAAAGGGGTTCATAAATTGAACCCCTTTAGTCTGATCATTTAGGATCTAAGGACAAGCTCCATTAGGCATGGTGATTTCCAAAGGGACAATGGTTGTAGTCTGGACTCTAGAGATCTATTCAGATTTCTGCCCAGCCCTTCTGCTTCCAGGAAAGCCTCCCTACCTACAGGTGAGTGTCTCTGCAGTCATATCTAAGCCACTTTACCCTTCTATGCTGGCCATAGTCAATTGGACCAGGAATGGACAGCTGACCCACACTGGATCTATCAGATTCCCTTTCCCAAGATTATGGAATTTGAATTCAGAGGCAATGAGTCTGTCTTTGTCTAAAACTATGACCTTTACCTCAGAAGTTATAAAGTCACCATATTCCATCATGCATATGGGTAAGTAGAAAAATCCCATCTGCAGAGAAAAAAGAAGAAAAGAGAGTCACAGACAGTAGAGTGAAACCGATGTGCAGAGAAGGCATAGTAGAGGCAGAGAGAAAATTCTGAAATCTTCTCAGTTCCCAGCTCTCATTCCTTTTGAAGGCCGCTGCATCCCTGCTCTTGGATTCCATGAGTCACATATAATAAAGCTCCCTTTAGTTTGCCAAGCAAACCCAAATTATACAAGTGACACAAAAATAAAAGTCAACAAAATAAATGTAGGAAATGGAAAATGAAGCTAAGACTGAACCGGTTTTAATTATAAACCCTACTGAAATGAGGTAGGCTGTCATATGTCAGCTCTCCCAAGGCCTACCCTAGTTCCCCATGTACAGGCAAGCCACAAGCGTAATTGCTCTGTGTCTAGGCTGATGGTTAGAATTAGTGTTCCTTTCAATGTTATTTACAACAAAGACAAAATGGAGACAAAAATAAAGCTCAAAGGGAAAATGAACCCAACCATTGTTCCCCTTCCCATATTAGGATATTTTTCTAAAAGTGAATTCTCCAGCAAAGAGGACATCAGAAAGGAAACAGATGGTTACTTTAAGGAAAGTAGGAGACATTCCATATTGCCTTTCCCTTGTTCCCTCTTTTTAACAGGAAGGACTTAAGCAGTTATGGTTATTCCTCACATACATTTGAGCCATTCTGTTTATGCAATGCAAAAGACGGATAATTGCACTACTGCACTACAAAACAAGCAGCTGAATGTGGAATGGTACTCAAAATGGAAACCTTGTCAGTTAGTATTAGCAAATCATCACATGAAACAAATTGTTCACTTTTGCTCAGCCCATTAGCTGCAAGGATGAAAGGAATTGCTCTCTCAACACATAATATTCCAATTTCCTGTTTTTACTTAGCGTTTCTCTTTCCTCCTCTGCAAATAATATACATTTATATTCTGGGCCTAATTTGTTCCCTCTGACCAGGAGATTATTTTAGTCAGAGACAACTTAAGCAATTGCTTTGTGAAATGAAGCCTTGGGAACGCAGTACCTCTCATATAGAGGGGATTGATTTGGCCTTCCTTTTAGTAGATGGTCTGGTGACTAGAACATAACACCCACCAACCACTATGCCCTGTATTTCAGTTTTTCTAAGAAAGACAATTGTGGAATGGCTCAGAGCCCACTTGCCACAGTTCAATTATATATATAATAATTATGATAAGTCTGTAAATGAGGTATTTTCATTCTTATTTTTCAGACAACTAAAATGAAACCCTGAAAGTGTCAATAATTCTACAGCGATCACCCAGTTAGTAGAGATATCAGAATTTGTACTTCTGTTTACATGTCAGTGCCCATGTTCTCTCTCCTATACTCTGGGAGACAAGTTTTATTTAAAGGTGCCCTAATGAAAACCAGATCGTCCTAAGAGTTACACTGAAACACTGGGACAACAAAAGTCTTATCCAGTTATCTAAGCTGCCTCTCATCATAAGTTGAATTCACTTTGATTTTCTTTTTCCATGGAACAAACCAGTGAGTAACCTACAGAATGAATCTCAAGTTGTCACCTGGAATCTAATTAAACACTTCTGTTGAGCAATTTTGCTGGCCACATCTCACTGGAATCAAGTCACACCACTCCCAACATTAGAGGAGTATAAACACGTCAGATACCCCATATTTCTGTAGCATAGGAAGGACAAAAAGACACAAATAGTACAGACACACCATGTTTCATTGCACTTCACTTTATTACACTTCACAAATACTGCATTTTTTAGAAAGTGAAGGTTTGTGGCAACCCTACATCGAGCAAGCCTATCAGCACCATTTTTCCAACAATATGTCTTCACTTTCGGTCTCTGTGTCACATCTTGATGATTCTTGCAATCTTTCAAACGTTTTTATTATTATTATATGTTATGGTGATCTCTGACCAGTGATCTTTGGTGTTAGCATTGTAATTGTTTGGGGATGCCATGAATCACACCTATATAAGACAAATTAAATCAATAAATGTTATATGTGCTCTGACTTCCCCACCAATCAGCCATTCTCCCATCTCTCTCCCTATCCTCAAACCTACTATTTACTGAGACAAAACAATATTGAAATTAGGTCAATTAATGATGTCCCTACAATGACCTCTAAGTGTTCAAGTGAAAGGAAGAGTCACACATCTCTCACTTTCAATTAAAAGCTAGAAATGATTATGCTTAGTGAGGAAAGCATATCAAAAACCAAGATAGCCCAAAAGCTGAACTTCTTGTACCAGTTAACCAAGTAGGGAATGCAAAGAAAATATTCTTGAAGGAAATTGAAAGTTCTACTCTAGTGAACACACAAATGATAGGAAAGTCAAACAGCCTTATTGCTGGTATGCAGAAAGTGTGAGTGGTCTGGATAGAAGACCAAACCAGCCACAGCATTCCCTTAAGCCAGAGCCTAATCCAGAGCAAGGTCTTAACTCTGTTCAATTCTTTTGAGGCTGAATGAAGTAAGGAAGGTGCAGAAGAAAAATATGAAGCTAGAAGTTGGTTCATGAGATATAAGGAAAGGAGCCATCACCATCATATTAAAGTGCAAGGTGAAGCAGCAAGTGCTGAGGGAGAAACTGCAGCAAAGTTATACAGATCTAGCCAGGATTGTGGATGAAGTTTGCTACACCAAACCACAGATTTTTCATGTAGACAAAATAGCCTTCTATCAGAAGACAATTCCACGTAGGACTTTCACAGCTAGAGAGGAGAAGTCAAAGCTTCAAAGGACAAGCTGACTCTTTTGTTATGCAGCTGGTGACTGTTAAGGTGAAGCTAACGCTCATTAACCACAGCCAAAAAAGCCTAGGGCCCTTAAGACTCATGCTAATTCTACCCTACCTGTGCTCTAGAAATGTAACAAAATCTAGATGAAAGAGCATTTATTTATAGCATTGTTTACTGAATATTTTAAGCCTATTGTTGAGAACTACTGCTCAGAAAAAGAGACTCCTTTCAAAATACTACTGCTCATTGACAATGTACCTGGTTACCCAAGAGCTCTGATGAAGACATACAAGGGAATAATATTGCTTTCAGGCCGGCTAATATAACATTCATTCTGCAGCCCATGGATTGAGTAGTAATTTTGACTTTTAAGTCTTATTATTTAAGACACACATTTCATAAGACTATTGCTGCCATAGATTGTGATTTATCAGATAGATCTGGTCAAAGTAAATGAAAACCTTCTGGAAAGGATTTAGTATTTTAGATGTCATTAAGTATATTTGTGATTTATAGGAGGAGGTCAAAATATCAATATTAAGAGAAGTATGGAAGAAGTTGATTCCAGCCCTCATGGATGACTTTTTAGGGGTTCAAGACTCCAGTGGAGGAAGCAACTTCAGAAGTGGTGGAAATAACAAGAGAATTAGAATTAGAAGTAGAGTCTTAGGATGTAACTACATTGCTGCAAACTCATGATAAAACTGGAACAGAGGAGGAACTGCATTTTACGGGTGAGCAAAGCAAGTGTTTTCTTGAGATGGAACTGACTCTTGGTGAATACGCTATGAACTATTGAAATGACAACAAAGGATTTAGAATATTTCATAAACATAATTCTTAAATCAAGAGCAAGGTTTAAGAGTATTGACTCCAATTCTAAAAGAAGTTCTACCATGGGTAAAATGCTATAAACAGCATTGTATGCTACAGAGAAATATTTCATAAAAGGAAAAGTCAATCAATATGGCAAAGTTTACGGTTGTCTTATTTTAAGAACTTGCCACAGCCACCCCAACCTTCAGTAACCACCACCCTGATCAGTCAGCAGCCATCAAAATCAAGGCAAGACCTTCCACCAGCAAAAAGATTATGATTCACTGAAGGCTTAGATGACTGTTAGCATCTGTTAGCAATAAAGTATTTTTAATTATGATATCTACATTTTTAGACATAATGCTATTGCATACTTACTAGACTACAGTGTAGTATAAATATAACTTTTACGTACATTGAAAATACAAAAAAAAAATTTGTGTGACTCACTTTATTGCTATATTTGTTTGATTGCAGTGGTCTGGAACCAAACCCACAATATATCTGAGGTTTGCCTGTACTTCTTCAGGAAGTTATGATTCCCAGAACCAACTGGAAAAGTGTGAAGAAAGCAAATCTAAAATCCTCTACCCCTTCTCTCTTGCTTTCATCATGGATGTTAGAACTTTTTTGATGCCAGTGACAGCATGAAGGAAAATGAGAGCAGAGAGGAGGGGTCATTTATTAGCTCATGGACCTAGAAAGTCTAAAGGTACATCTAGCTACATGCACAGCTAAATCTGTGAGCTTGACAATGTCATGAGCTTCACAGCCAGGCCAAAGACGCTGTCTCGGCCGGGCGCAGTGGCTCACACCTGTAATCCCAACACTTTGGGAGGCCGAGGCGGGCGGATCACAAGGTCAAAAGATTGAGACCATCCTGGCTAACACGGTGAAACCCTGTCTCTATTAAAAATACAAAAAAAATTAGCCAGGCACGGTGGCGGGTGCCTGCAGTCCAGCTACTCGGGAGGCTGAGGCAGGAGAATGGCGTGAACCTAGGAGGCAGAGCTTGCAGTGAGCCGAGATCCAACCACTGCACTCTAGCCTGGGCGAGAGAGCGAGACTCTGTCTCAAAAAAAAAAAAAAAAGAAATTGTAAAACACTGTCTCTATCTTTTACTCTTGGCCTTGCATTCTCTATTTGGTGGTCCATGGAAGTTCCAGACTCACTTTCTACCACCTTACAATTACAGAAGAAAGCAGCACACCTCTTTCTCAATGGTTTCAGAAAAGTCCAGGGTTTGGCTTTAATTGGCCCAACCCAGGTCCTGGCCTACCTATGAACCAATCATTGTGACCAGAAGAATATAATAGCTCACTGATTAAACATTGGTCATAAGCCCACCCCTAGAACTGAGAAGTGGAATCAGCCCCACCCAAGGTAAGGAATAAGACCCAGGGACAGGATTCACAAAAGGAAAACTATGGTGCAATTATAGGACAATGAAGGTATGGATACTGGGCTAACAACAGCTGGTCGGTATGATCAGAGAGACAATCATCCTAAAAGACATATTTCCAACATGGAAAAATAGCCTCCGTCCAGGTTAGGAGTTTGTAGGAGCTATGGGGCTTTTTCCCTCTGTTCTCAGGCAGAAGCTCAAGAGGCAGACTCAGTCTGGCAATTAGCTGTCAGCTCATCAGCAATTCAAATGTCCTGGAGTGGGCCATGCTGATGATCTGTACTTGCAGTAATCATTTGGCTGGGTGAATCAAATTATACTTTCCAATGCCACTTCAAATCAAGATTGCTATGTCTGCACTCATTTTCAGCAGCATTACCATGCAAGTTATTTTCTTTGATATTGACTCTACGTGGGCAAGGGAGAAATTTAGGCTTCTTTTAAGTTCTGCTCAACAGGAAAGACCAAAAAGTTTTAGAGATTTGCAAGGAGACTAATTAGGATCCATTCCAATTTAATGGCTAGGCTTTCACACTGAAATGGATAGGGAAACATGTTCTGCCCTTGCAAGGTAGAGATTTTTCTTACAAGTAGCTATCTAACTTGGAAACCTCATTCTTTCATAATGCCATGTGCAGTGATCAATCAGATGTAATGATCAAAAGAAAGTTTGCCTCAATCAATCCTGATAAACAAATAACAGCTATAGTGGCAAATCTAATGTGTTCTTCACTTCAAATTCACTTGCCAATAATTGGCCTCATTAGCGTCTGTGAAGTTAGCTGTTCGCTAAAATTGGGCAAGCTGTACATTAGATGTGTTCAGTGGTTTGCAAACCTTTGGGAATAATAGACCTACTGAATCAGCAATCTTGCTAGTTCCATGGAAATGAACAAGCTAAAAAGCAAGGAGACTGCAAGAGATCTAGGAGTGAAGGAGGGACCAGGAACTTCCTCCCACCTGCCTGTAATTAATATTACCTTTCTCAACCTGTAAACTAAGGACTAGTTTTGTACCATTTTTTAAAGATTTGATTTTGACAGAAAATGAACTTGATTTCTTTGTGCCATCTAGCTTTCAAATTACCCTGCCCACATCTGTCAGATGTTTTTGTTGTTCAATTATAAAAACTGTATCCAGACTGGATTATGAGAATGCTGTTTGCAGGCACCATAACCACAGATGCCCCTGGGCTGAACATCAGGCTCACTGCAATCTTCCCAAAGAAGGAAATATACTTCCAGCTGCTGCACCAGACCCATCCTTCTTGGAAAGAGGACAAAATCACAGCAGGTGAACCTTTTCTGGAATATCTGAACTATGCATTTGGGGAGATGAGAGGCAGAGATAAGAGTGGAAATAGACTTAACTAATCCACTAACGTTTATATGGCTTATTCCTACAGAAATAGCAGAGTGAACAGTGAACACAACTATTCAGTTTGCCTGGAGGTAAGAGAGGTTTTTTTCCTGAATTACCCTATATGTCAGCACCACCAACATTCACCAATAATACCTCATTTTCTGTGTCATTTTTGCTTCTGTTGTCAATATCTGTGAGTCACAAGAAAAAAAAAATGCGTTTGCTTTTCAGTGTAGCTTTCTTTCCCTTAAAAGCTGGCCAGAGAAAGTTTCACATGATGTTTGTCAAAGGAAGCTTTAAGTATTTGTCAAAGACACAGCATATGTTTGGATGCCTTCTTTTCCAGCCAAATGAGAATCAACCCAGGTACAGATCATTCCAGTTTCTCTGCTTTTCACCTGATGGCGCCTACCCTCTTAACTTTGTAACTTATTTAATTACAACTATTTTTAATAACATCCACCATGATCAAGTAAGATATTGACTTTGCAGATCCCCAATATTGCAATGGCCTCCTAATTGGTTTCACTGCTTCTACCCTTATTCCCACACCCACCCTTTAACCCCACTACACTCCCTTTCCACAGAGCAGCCTGAGTAAGCTCTTACAAATGTAAATCAGATCTTGTCACTGTCTTCCTTACATCCCTCCAGTGACCTTCCGCTGCACGGAGAGTGCTCCTGACCTCTTGTGGAACCCTGTACTATTAACTCATCCTTGTCTTCCATGCTGCCCTCATATAATTCCATTCCACCCACGGACAACCTGTCTCTTCCTCAAACACATAAACCCAATTTGGATTTGGAGCCTTCGGTCCTTCTTGTTCCCTCTTCTGAGAACACGCTAACCATGGCCCTCTTCAGGCCTGGCTCCATCTCATCCCTGGTTCTTGGTCAAATGCCACCTGCTCAGAAAACCCTAACCCTGACACCATCTCCCCATTTCTCTTTATCAAATCATTGTGATTATTTTCTTCATAGAACTTGCTGTGATTTCAACTCATCTGTTTTTTTGTTTTGTTTTGTTTTGCCTGTATCTCCCTCTAGAATGTAGGCTCAAAGTGGGTATAAACCTCCTCTGCTTTATTCATCACTACATCCTCAGCGTCTAAAACAATGCTGATATTGCGCCTGACATGTTCCAAGAAACTGGGTGAATGTTTTGAAACTCCAAGTCGCATTATAAAGAACCATCATTTTATGTTCTAGAACTGGTTTTATTTCAAACATTTGCAAATCTAATATTACAAGAAGCAGTCTCCCATTGTTAATTCCTTTGAGTGTCCCCAGAACATGACAATTTGCATAAGAATCATTTCCCAAAAGGAAAAAAAAAACCTCAGACACACCAGAAAACTCTGGACTGCTTTCTTCTTCATTATAAGTAAGACAAGTTTGAAAGAATAAACATCAAGACTTGATTCTTTAGAAGTTGAAAATTAGATCAAATGAATTGGAGGACAACTACATCTTGTGTTAATGTTTTCCTCCTCGAATGAAGAAAATGAGGTGATGCCAGCCATGACTCCATTTGAAAATGAAACTCTGTATTTCTATTTGATTTCACGTTAAAGCACACTGTTTTTCACTGTAGACTTTTCATGTTGGTAAATGTTGCAATACTTCACAACCATTAGGCTCAGGCCCATTTACTATAAGCAAGACAAGCACAGATACATCATGCCCATAAAGCGTCATTTGTAAATTACACAGTACATAAATGAGACTAAGTCAGAAACCCAAGTCTCACAACTTTCACCACTAATGTGGAAGAAAAAAAAAGGAAGAAGAAATTTCAGTTCAAATTTTCCCACTCTCAAAAGGTATAATTTATAAATAGTCTATTATGCTTTCATTATGCCAAACAAAAGGAACATTCAAGAATATACTGTATGCCTTATTCTAACTCATAATAGACTAAAATGCTTCAAGAATAAAACTGGACTAATCAGATTCTGGCTATCTTTTGCAAAATGTGACAGGTAAGCACCCTGGTCCTGCCAGGAATTTTGTGTTGATTTCTGATTAGCTGATTACAGAAGTCAGCAGCAAAGCCATAATAAAGTAACAACTCACAGTGAGATGACAGTGAGCAAGTGTCTTTAAATTTATAATTGCCCTTGGATCTATTTAATTTAGCTTTAAGTCATGAAGCATAATTGAGATAAATGGTTACACTGAGCAGGTATCAAATATGACAAGAAGCTGGCTGTGATTATTTTGTTACACTATTTCCTTACGGGGAATTTTTCTGCCAACACTTTTCCTATGATGGCTATTAAAGTTTATAGGATTTTTCCCACCATTAGCTGTAATGGCATTTGCATGTTAAATGCTCACAACAAATGAAAACCATGATTCCATTGTTTCACAGGGGGAAAACTACGGTTACTGCTATTCCAAATGGAGAACAAATCTAAAAAGAATCAAGTAATTCCACTTCCTTGTATGATACCTATATAAGCTCTGTGGGAAAGCCCATTTACTTTGCAACTCTTTTATTTTTGAAACAAGATAGATTTTTGCACATATTAGAAAACTGGATTCCACTACAAGCCAAGCAGAAGGCACTTCAAATGCTATTTTTTTGTTGAGGGAATTTGTTTACAATTAAATATAATTCTCTCTCAAGTATATTTAATTAAGAAGCTCTAATCTCATGGGACTACAAGGGGAAAGCTTGATGGCTACTTGTAAGGGTTTTTTAATGAATATATATGACAGGACTCTAGGACTTGTGTCTAAAGCAATACCAAATTATGAAAACAACACCGAAGGCAGACATTGAGCATTTCTTAGCCAATTTTCTTCTCTGAGAAAATTCAGCAACCAGTTCTGAAAATCTGTGGATATGCTATTCTGGATTATGATTCTGGATTCTAATTTATAAGTAATTTATTCAGGGTCATCTAAAGCTAGCAAAGCAAGATATAAGAAACTATATATTTATGGATCTATGAAACTATCAAAATATATGACTGCTTGATCAATCTAGATCTTTTAAATTTGGTTTAGCTTGTTCCTCATTTCTCCACCACCAATTTTTCAAGGCACTATTCCCTTCACCTGGAATAGCATTTATATTTTGTGACTCTCACATTCTATCCACCAAATTATTTCTCAAAATTCAGTTGTTCTGAGAATGCTTCAGAGATAAAAGATCCTCAATCGTTAAGACAACCAATATTCAAACCTCTGGGTTTTCATTTTAGTTTGATCTCTCCCTGATGTGTCTTTTAGCTCTTTCTCATGTTCTTCCTGAATATATTTAGTCCAAAGATTTCTGACCCTTTGTGGGCTCCACATAAGAGTATGAATTAGTTTAAAATTATATGTAATTTCTTACTAAAAGAACATCTTTGGAAATTGCTCAAGTAAATATTTTAAATTGCTAAAGGTTATTTTGTCATTTTTTTTCTCTAGTTTTTCTTGCCCCTTCCTTCCCCAGTCCAGTGTTCCTTACTACCAAATGCAGAATCAGAAGAACAGTAGTTATGTTCAGTGAGGGAATCCAAAGAAATTCATTCACTCTCAGCAGTTTTCTATTTGTTCACTTAACCACTTAATTTCATCTTTTACTGCAAAGACCACCAAAACTGTGTGCTGCATCACTACTGTTTACCCAAAGTTGCCCAAACTTTAGGAAAGTGGAGAACCTTCCATAGATTTGGCCTGATTTGCAGCTGTGAGGGGAAACAACATATATACAGTTGGCAACCCTTGACCACAAACCAAGTTCTATTTACTGATAAACATTAGTTTGGATAGGCATTATTTCCTATCTCCAATGACATATTAACACATGCACACACCAAGATGAAGTTTCCCATCTCGGATGACACAGAAACACATGCAAGCACTGGGACGAATTTATCAGCAAAACAAAAGGAAAGTGCAATGGACTGTGAATGTTAGTGTACAACTCACTGTACTGCTTCAGGCAAATCACAACTTCTCTGTGACTCAATTTCCACATCTCTGAAATCAAAGATGATCTTTATAGCTCTGTGATTTTATTCTCCTCTGACCAGAAAAAAATTGTTTAAACACCTGAACATGATAATTTACTTTATTCCAGCATAAAATTCATAGTCCCAAGATTGATTGTCCACTGTTTAGTCTTTCCTAATGTCCTTTCCGGAAGTACTATCTTCCAAAATACTTCAGGAAGCTTGTCATAACTCAGGTTCTACAAGGTCAACGCAACCTACATAATTCCATTTGTAAAAAGGTGTTTTCTTGCATTGTGTAAATACTCAACCTAAAAATCATTCCAACTGCTGTGTTACCTCAACAATTTTTGAAATAGAATATTGAACCTTTGTTATTGTGATGGGAAGTTTCCTACAATTCTGGGTTTATCTCAAATAATGCGTGAAAACACTGATACTATTGAAAATGGAAACAGCTTCACTGCTTTTTTTCATTTTATCTAATGAACACAGAGGAAAGGCTTAGATCTGAAAAAGAAAAGGGCATAAATGAGACTCATAAGAGGGCTATTTGTTACAAATTTTAACTAGATGCAGTTTGGTTAAGGACACTAAGCAGGAATGTCAAATCTTTTTAAGATGTTTAAACATAATACGTTATTTCATACAATGAGTGGTTATCTGCCATTGGATTTCTTATGGTGCTTTATATACTAACACAGTGAGTTACAAGATGGTATAGATATATGGAATTGCATGCTTATTAGCCAAGCCATGACACAGAAGGTTATTTGCGTTATATGACATTGACTGAACTGCTGCTAAGCCCCAAAAAGATCATGCTGGCAACAACATAGTTCCAGGCATCAAATCCCCAGATATTGGTTCATTTTGTTTAAAGCATCACACACTGTATTCAAGTCGCTGCGAAGGTCCTGCACCACATTTTCAATACTTCTGGTGTCTTTCAGAATTTCAATACTCTGTGTGTAGGGATTGAAGTATACTGAGAAGGGACGGGTAATTGACTTTGCAAAGTCCCTGCAGAATAAACAGAAGTAGAAAGAGATGTGATCAACCCTCATTGGTACGAGGGATAGATAAAAGGAAGGAATAGAGACAGAAAAATAAAAAGTTATTTTCTCTAGCTAGGAGGAAAAAAAAGTTTACCTCATCTTTTCTTTGGCTTCTTCAAAACTTTCTGAAACAAAGTAGGCTTCCTGGAAGGTGGTGATAAGGCATTCCTGTAAGCAAGTTGTCTTTGGGTCAAAGGCTTTCACACATGCCTTGTCAGAAAGGGCGTGCTGCAAAATATACCACAAAACCTGTTAAACTCTGTAATGAGACTTCCGAAGCTCCATGACATCACATTTTTACAACACATTTGATAGCTCGGTAATCCTACAGAGCTGCTCAGTTACTAGTCTGTCATGAAATATGGAACTCTCCTGTGTGCAGGGTAAATTGGAAACTAGGATTTTGTTTGGTTGTTTGTTTGTTTTGCTTTTTTAAGTATGCTAGGTACTGTGGGAGAAAATGAGATTGTGGTATTATTTAATTTATTACCAGCCAAATTCATACTGAAGGACAGTTCAGAGCTATTCCCCCACAGAAATGGGATTTTAAATCTATGCTATGAATAGAAGCAGGGACAGCATAAATATGCTCCAAAATTTATTGCTATAAGCAATGTACTAAAATTTCACTTAAATGGCAGAAGTAATAATTATCTGCATGGAGAGGTAATTGGGGCTCTGACTAAACTATTTGTCTATTCATTGGGAGATATTTTGAGGCCAGGTACTGTGTATCAACAGAGTCTGGAGTGGGCCTGTATATTTGAGGATACTTAAAAAGCATTCATTTACCTTCCACCAAGTACAGCAGAGCAATATACAGCAGATAAATATTGCCACTTGAGGAAAAAAGGAGCTAATATTAATAGTCAGAGTTATGCCAAGAGCAGGTATTAGAAAAACAGGAAAGCTGGCGTAATTACTCTTTGAACCATCATTAGCTCCGTTCAGCTCACTACATGACTAGCACTAAGAACAGCAGGGAACAATGAATGACTATATTCTCAAGATAAATTCAGTGATGTTAAAAGTTAGTGGTCATTTCCTGCCATGTGCTGCCTATTTATAGACCCTAGATTGATGGTTCTAAAAATGCAATGTGCATAAGAATCACTGAGGAGCTTATGAAAATGCAGATATCCAGGGTCTCAATTTCATTTGGCAGGTCTGGATGAAACCTAGAAATCTTCATTTTAAAGGCATCCAAGTTGACTCCAATATAAGTGGTTGTGAACTATATATTGAGAAATACTCCTCTTAATTCTTTTTCTTAATTTAAGGGGGAAATTAGTTGGGAGAGAGAGGCAGAGAGAAAAAATGGGGTAGCAGAAACTGCCGTGAACTGAGAGTTGGAAAACTGGGGCTTTAGTCCAGGTCTAACTGGGTAACCTCAGCAATCATTCAACCTCCCTGTGCCTCCATTTCCTCAACTGTAAATGAGAGTTTTAGGCGGGAAGATTCTGAAGACAATCTCTATCCCAGCCTCTGGATTCCACCCATTATACTTTTCTACCTTCTCAGTCTCTAACAGCTAAGGTTTCCTGGAGAAATTCAGAAAACCCTTTCCTGTTCAATATTCTTCGTGCATTCCTCCAACAATTTCAAAATGCATGGAATGATTTACAGCCCTCCATGAAGAAGTCTGTGGTTCCCTAAGTTTGAAAATGCAATTGAGAACCAAAAGACTGACATGTAAGAGAAAGGGCACCCTGCATGTGATTTGCTTTCCTGCAAAGTTCCATTGTCCAGATAAATGCATATATGAATCACAGAATGCAGAGGGCCTCTCAGCGTGAACTCATTTTTTTTGGCCCACAGAACAACTTCATTATAAGCAGAAGGTCACTACACTTGCAAATGCATTTGTGCTAGATTCAATGCAGGGCAGTGAACATCAAGGGATTTTGGTTCCACATGACCAATAATTCTGTCCACAATTTTAGAAACATATTCACAGTTTCAAGAAACAAAATGTCCCTTTATGAAAGTTGTTGCCCCTCTGCAAAAAATTGGCTTCCTGTTGGCTTGCCATGATTTTCAGAATTCGAATTAGCTTTCTTTGCATCCGTACACTCTGGTTACATTTAATGTACTACGTTGTTCTAACAGTCCATTCATCCATCAGTACATATGGAAAGGACTGTGGCTGGCTCAATGTGTTTAGTCTTCCTACTCTCTCATCCCTGCATTCAGGGTCATGGCCAGAGTGGTAGCAGAATAGGCTGTAAGAACATTAAAGCCATGGCTCCCTTGGGACATCCTTGCTAAGCTAAAGACATTTCACTGGGTCAAGGACAAGCACAAGAAAGAAGTGAAACTCATCTGTTTGTGTCTCCATTGCTTCTATAAGACATTAGCAACCTTAGCAGTCACTATGTATAGAGGATGCCTCCAGAGGTGTGTATGCAATGACAGAGACTGAAATCAGTGTGGTTTTGGAAAAAATATCATTTTGTGACAATTCCACTGGATAGCCAGATACGTATTTAGTCATTTTAACAGCTAAAAAGCATTAAAGTAGATCAAGAAAAGGCCCAGAGCATACGGCACTCTGCCCCAGACTTCAAGAAAAACCAGTGGGTTCACACACATGTAATTTGAGGCAGGCCATTAGGAATATAGATCACGCTTGACCAATGTAACATTTAAAGGAAAAACTGGAAGTTAATTGTCTTAAGTTCTCAAAAACGCAGCCTACCCTCAGGAGTCTGCTATGCGTGTGATATGCTGGTTACCTGCTGGAGACCTTTCCACCCATGGAGTATGGGACCAGTGTTGCTGTTTGGCTGTTAATGAATATGGGGGTAATAATGGTACCCATGGATTAGCCTGGAGAATGACAAGAACCTGGAGATGGGGGAGCAGCCAGTGAATGAAGCCAACAAATGAAGTAATGTCACCCATATAAATGGCCTCATTTACCTGACCATGAGCTGACTGTGTGCTGAGTTCCAGGAACATCCATGCAGCCCATGAAGTCTCCTATCTCTGAATACTACAGTGTGTCCCAAGGGGTATAAAATAGCATCCATGTCTTTGATTCCAACTTCTATTGCCCAATGGAGAAGTCTGACTGAGTTTGCTTCTCATTTTCTATCCAGGTCTCTCTCTAAGCCCCTCAGTTTTGGGGAGCAGCTATTGTACCCTCTTCTCTATGTCCAGAGTGGATTCTCTGTAAACATTGAACCAAACTACTTGATGTCCCCAGGGAACTCTGCAGTGATTCTGTCTTGAAATGTTAGCAGTCTGATATCCTGAAGTTTGCAAGAATTAATCCAACTTCCTGCAGAGAGAAGCTTTATAATGCTGACAGAATCTGGTTGACAATCTTTTACTTTGAAGCCATTTTTAAAGTACAGGAATGCTTGAGAGTCACCTTCTCTCATCAGAACACCCTCTAAAAGGACTATTTTGGATTTACCCGTAGTGCTAGAGACAAGGGCACAGGGCTGGGAACCAGGAGACTTGGGTTCTAAATGTAGCTGTCCCCAGAGGCTAGACGTATAATATCAAATGAGTGAAACTACCCCATGTTGGGCTGCAGCTTTATCTTTGATAAACTGAAAAGATTGACCTAGATGAATTCTAAGACTCTTCTTGAAATATAATTTTAACAGGCTGCAAGTACACAGCACTCACACCACCTTTACCTCCCTCCACACCAGCCACAGTAAATTGACCATAGCAGCCTTTCCCACTGGGCCTGCGGATGGATTTCCCACCCTTCTCCACAGAGGCGGCTACTACCAATTAATTGACTTTGGCGCACAAGTTAAGACTTATTTGCCATTCCAGCTTTTTGAATATAAAAATTTCTTTTCAATATCAAAAATTTCCCAGAATCCAACTATTAGTAGACAATACTATAAGGTAATTAAAAATACAGGTCTTTATGGTTAAGAACACAGGTCTTTACAGTTAAGAATTGAGGTTTGAATCTGACTCCATCTCTACCTAACTACGTGTCCTTGGGCAAATTACTTTACCTCTGTAAGCCTATTTGAGTATTCATCTGGAAAATGGAAATACTAATAGTCATATCTATAACCTGGGGTTGTGGTCAAAATTAAATGAGGTAATGGATGCAAAGTGCCTGGCATGGGAAGTGCTCAGTATATTTAGTTATCATCACTAATTCAGTCCAGAGATGATGCTTTGTGTACATATGTGTTCAGTCACACTTTCCACCATTTGTGCAGCCCTTCTCCCTCAGGGGTCTGAAACCCGTAGAGAATTAAACGGCCCCAGCTCTGAGGCTTTCAGGTCCTAGACTATGATAGTGTCTGCCCTGGGTTCATCAGTTTAAAATCTTCCTTCTTCCCAGACACCTGCTTTTTCAATGACAGTTATTATCTCGACTATTCTATATGCAAACCCTGTGACACTCACTATCTATATTAAGACTGGTTAAAGTTGGAAAAAAAAAAAACTCAAGTGTGAAGTCAGGTTTGTGAATAGTTTGGGCCCTAGATTCTGAATAAGAATTTGCAAACACTTTACACTCACATCACAGTCATCTTTTTCCACATCAAAAGAACAACAAATATATACATACGTATATGTGTAAATGCATTATGTGTGTATATAATATTTTTGAGCCTCCCTCAAAGGCTCATCCTGCTAAACAAACACAATGTGACATCTATATCCCCATTGCCAAATTAGGCAATGATGCATTACACTTTTTTAAATTAGCGATTAGGCTTCACCAATTTGAATAAGCTGCAGGGTTGAGGGAACAACCTCCATCTTCAAGCAATCCTTCCACAAAAACCAAAGACAGAGTTTCCAGCTCCCAACGTCCAGCATTTACTCTGTCATTACCAACACCACTAACTTCATGAGAAGAAAGAGCAGGAGGAAGGGACTCGAAAGTCATCTGAACAGGGTAAACGTGAGAGCTCAGCAGCAGCGAGTCCTTACTCTAGTCACACCATTGACCAAACAGATGACATCAGAGAACCTGCAAGGCCCTTGGGCCTCTTCTATACAGACTAGCACTAATTCTGACCACCTCCCAGAGTTGCTGCAAGTGGTAATAAATACAAATTGCTTGTAATAAATATAAAGCTATTCTGAGAATAGCCATTCAAGCTTGATAATAGCTATATCAAGGCAACACAATAAATTTGCCATGCAAGATATCCTAAAACTAAAGCCAAAAAATAATAAGTAAATTTGTTTAAACCATCAGCTTTTTCAAAACCCAAAGAGCGAAACAGATGTGTTTATATGTAATATGTCAGCAACTACTATGGGGTGGATGCTAAAAAAAAAAAAAATCTAATCTCTGGCCTGAAAGATATAAATATCTAGACCTTACCTTTACTCATGAAAAAGGAGTAGAAATTGCCTTTTGCTTTTGAGATGGGTTAACTTTTTGATACAAGACTCAGCCAGTTCATTGGCTAGCAATCATTTCCTCACCACCTGAAGTGAACAAACTTTACTGTCACTTCTCCAAGAGAACTGGACTCAACAAAGATCTGTATCATCACTTTCTTAGAATTTCCCTACTACATTCCAAGTTCTTGAAATCTTGGACCATCAATTTTGTGTTTGTTGAACAAAATTAATGAATAAGCAAGCAAATAATATATCAAAAAAACGATAGACATATAGTTAGATCAACTCAGGATAAAGAGAAAAAGTGTGAAAGGAAAGACACAAGCTAGACTGTGGGTAAGGCAATAATCCTACTTTCAACCTTTTCTTTAAAGTCAGTGTTCCAGGTGACTCAGCTCATTGTTAATTGTTCTCCACAGTTATGAAAGGTATGGAAAAGCCCCACCCAAATGCACTTTTTGGCATTCCTGTAAGTACACCACAGAACAGATCATTAGAATAAGAGAGGGGCAACCATTGCTGTGGGGGAAAAAGTAGTGTTTATGGTTGTAAGATTTATGCTAACTTTTACAAGCTTTTCCATATTTATTTTGTTTCTATCTTCAAAAAGAATTAGTATTGTCAAAAAATAAGAGGAAAAAATGAAAGTTATCTGAACTATAGGTATACCACTCGGAAGTACTTGGCCAGCTCTAAAGAACAACATCTATGTCTCAGGAAAATTTAGCCCCTTATAGCACAAAGTATAGAATGTGTTCTGTTTAAGAAGAGAAGATGATTGTGGATACTTATGTAAAAGTTATAAAGGTGACACCAAAACCTCCAGCAACCCAATCTAAAAAGTTGTAAAGATGACCCCAAAACCCTCCAGTAGCTGGGACTTACATTTGGGCTGCAGTTGGAACAGCATAAAATATTTTACTGCAAAAGGTAACTGCACTCAAAACTGTAAGCTTGTTTACACAGGAATTATGATAACGCTATTAATAAAGTTATCCCTACATGGGTCCAGGACTATCATTTTTTCATTCAAATAAAGGTTAAAAGTACTCAGAAGTGCTTTGAGAGGGCTCTGGGTACTTTCACAAGCAGGGCAAGGAGAATGTGGGGGAAGAGATGCTAGGGAAAGCATCTTGTGTTACGTATTCTCTGTGAAAACTCAGAAGATATTTCACATAGAAAGTATTTCTGAATTGTAAAAATGGTCCAGTGTAGCAATCTTAGGGGTGTTGAGGTATAGAAATTGGAGAATGGAAGAATGTTAATGACTAGAGGTAATGGACCAGAGCAAGAAGGTATTCTGTGAACAATGCCCTTCTTGGTACGTATTTCTGGCTGATTTCCATTTCCAGACGATTCTGTCCACACCAGTAGGAACAAAAACAACAGATTCATCCTAGTGCTGCCCACACATGCCTCATTAACCAGACCAGAAGATCCTGTGGAAAGTCAGGGCCATGAGAGAGATCCGTTTCCTTTGTTTCTGGTGTAACTTATAAACCGTCTGAGGAGGATGTAAATAGACACAGCTCAAGAGCTACATCATTTTCTGACTCTTTTGTTCAGGGAAATCAAGAAACACTCTATAGAGTGCATGCCCTTATTGGGGATATGGCATTATGCTGTTGCTGTGGGCTTTGCCCACTGCACTAAGATTAACACCAAATAGATTCTTTGTTGAGAATTTACTTTTTAAAAAAATTACCATACTACATCAGGTCATCAGTTTTTTGTTAGGTTGAATATTATTATCCTCTTTTCCAGTGAACCCCAGACAGTTCTTTCAATGGACCAGGCTTCAGCTAGAATCTTGAGGGTCCACACGTGGCTCTCCACTGACAGACTGGTGCACCCCATCCTTTCCTTATTTACCCTTTCCATTCCTCAAGAATCAGCATGGACAGCAGGGCCCTTGACAGGAAGGCTTCTCAGGCATGGCCTAATATGAGCCAGGCACATTTCTTTCATTGTCACACTTTTTGTATTATGTGATTGGTTGTTTATCTCTTGCACTAAAATGTACTGTAAACTCTTTGATGGCAGGGATCACAGGGAGTGCAGCCTAGTGGTTAGGAGCTCAGATCCTAGAGCCTAGATGGCTGGGATTTGAGCCCAGATCAACACTTATTAACTGTGTGATCTTCGGCAAGTTCCTTAATGTCTTTATGCCTCAGTTTTCTCATCTGTGATATAAATATCCCTTATCTCATTGGGTTCTTATGAGCATTACATGGGTTAATATGTCTAAAGCACCAGAAATATTGTCTATTTAAATGCTTGTTCTGGCTGTTATCATTATTTTCTTTTTTTTTTTTTTTCTGTCAGAGTCTCCTCTGTTCCCAGGCTGGAATGCAGTGGCGCGATCTCGGCTCACTGCAACCTCCGCCTCCTGGGTTCAAGTGCTTGCCTCAGCCTCCCAAGTAGCTGGGATTACAGGTACCCGCCATCATGCCTAGCTAATTTTTGCATTTTTGTAGAAATGGAGTTTCACTATGTTGGCCAGGCTGATCTTGAACTCCTGACCTCAGGTGATCCGCCCACCTCAGCCTCCCAAAGTGCTGGGACTACAAGCATGAGCCAATGCACCTGGCCTTTCTTCTTATTCTTCATCATTATTACTTGTCTTTTTATCCCCAGTGACTGCCATAGTACCTGGCACTAGGTGTTCAACCAAATGTTTGAGGAATGAATGAATGAATGAATGAATGAAGTCATAAAATGACCAGACTCAATAAAACTACAATTACTTTGCATCTTTCAATAATGCAAATGGCCAAAAAGTACCAATAACTATATACTTCCCATTTATATTACATAAGGATAATCAATGCTCAAAATAAAAACTCAAGAATGGTCCACAATCCTGACCTTAGTCTGAATAGTCAAAGAAAGATTAAATTATTTTCAGTACTATTCTAGATTGTGTATCACACTGCATTTAAAATGCATCAAAACTTGCTATCCCCCCATGGTATAAATGGCAATTCTTAAAAGACCAGAATATTTAAATTATCAGAATATTCCAGGTCTCAACATTTCTGGAAAAAAAAAGTGACCATTTTATTGTATTTTAAAACAAAGTGACATTCTTTAGGCACCATTACACATAATAGATACCTCTCTGATAATATACTTGTTTGGTTTGTTTTTCCAAATTGTTTATGTCCACACATGTTTTAATGCACATTAATTTTGAAGAAGCTGAAACAACATCAAACTCCCTTTTAGGAAGTAGATGCTGGGGAGTCCAAAGGAGCCAGGGAGGTGATGGAAATCAGAGTAGCCAAGCCACATTCGCAAGTGAATTTCAGTCAGTAGGATCACTGCTAGCTCATGGCCCACTTTTTAGCACTAAATTTAGGCCTGCCATTTGTTACCCAAGATTTGGGCATACATTTGTCATTGCTGTTGATTTGTACACGTGGCTGCTCATCCATTTGAGTCACACCACAAATCCAGAAAGGCATGACCCATTTTCACAAGTGCGAAAAGTGAGGTCGGCACCCACATCCGAGGTGCCAAATCCTCTATGTTAAATATTTATGGAGTATCTGTGAGTAGAAATGCTCAGACAAACAAATCAATATTTTCCCTGACCTTGAACCAGTTTGCATGGGAAGGGTATTTTCATTCACAGCTTCATACCTTTAATTCTCCAATGGAGGAAAGGAGTCCTGCTCCATATGCCCGCAGTTGCCCTTCTTGCTTGCAAAGGCCAAACTCGATTGTGAAGAAATAGCACTGAAGAAAAACGAACACATATTCAGTGAACTGGTCAATGAGTTATTTGATAGGATTAAATGGCACCCAAAACAAAATGGTGGGCTGTGCATAATTTCTTCAATATTATCAATTTAAATACATTTAAATCAAGAACATTTATTGAAATCTATTCTCTTGCTCAGTATTCTCTCCCTAGGTTGAATGTATATGAAAAAAGTATTAACTACTAAGAGTCTTACGCTTCCTGAATTCAGAAGCCCTATGAGTCAAATTATATCCCCTGCAATCATTTTAAAAACAAAAAACACAGATGTAGAAATGAATAATTATATCACAATGATACCTCCGTAACAATATGCTATATATTTACCAAATTTTGTTTCAGTGACATAAATCAGTTTATGCAAATGTGGAAAAATAAGTTGGAATCCAGTAATCGCTAACTGTTTTTGGCAGTTTGTTTATTTATTCAACAAATATTCATTGGTGCCAGTGCTTGGTAAAGAATTGTGGTAAAGAAACAAGAGAGCAACCAAGAAAGCAAGTACCTCTATATGACTACCAAATTACCAAAACCACAATATTAATATACTTTTTTAGTAAAATCTTAAATATATATCTATGTTTGCATATGTATATGCACATGTAGGTTTATATATGTATTTGTGTATGTACATGCTGCTCGACTTACAATAGGTTTACATTTCAATAAACCCAATAAGTTGAAAATAATATCCTAAGTTGAAAATGTGTTTAATACATCTAACCTGCTGAACATCCTAGCTTAGCCTAGCCTACCTTAACAGTGCTCAGAACACTTACATTAGTCTACAGTTGAGCAAAATCATCTAACACAAAGCCTATTTCATAATAAAGTGTTGAAAAGATCGAAATTCCAAATTTGAAGTGTGTTTTCTACTGAATGCATATCACTTTCACACCATCATGAAGTTAAAAAAAAAAACTGTAAGTTGATCTAATATAAATTGGAAAGCAGTGGGGCGGATGTTATACACACATACACACACACACACACACACACACACACACACACACACACTTTATTGGCCCAAGTTTTATCAGCATCAACTACTACAACTTCCCCAGGACATTAATATCTTCAATTGCTTCTGTTGGGTTTAAGAAATCAACCTAAACAGACGGAGGAATCTTTGCACAACGAGAAGAAAAAAAAAGAAAAACAAAAAACTCACAGTGCTGTTGAGAGAGGCTGAACTCGCACTATTTTTGCTCTGAAAGAAAAGTGAGATGCTGACAACAAGCAATAAAAATTCCATCAAATTAGCACTGTCCTGCATTAATGATGATAGAGCACTGAAGGTGTTAAGAAAGGAATTTAAACACTCCTGAAAAGGGGCAGAAAATAATAATTATTTCCAGCACGTGTCAGTTTGCTCTATTTTTATTTGGAGGCTAAGATGTCCCTTGGTTCAGGAAGGTTATATATTTTTTTGATGTGAGGGTGATCTCTGAAGTTGAATTTTCCAAAGCTCTGCAGCACTGAGCTGGACCCAAAGGACTGATCATTTCCAGGTCATGGAGCTTAACCTCCAGAAGTAAAATTTTTTTTCCTGATTCACCTCCCAAAGAGGCTAAAATTACAGCCCTAGACTGGGCGTGGTGACTCACACCTGTAATCCCAGCACTTTGGGAGGCCAAAGGGATCAGATCACCTAAGGTCAGGAGTTCAAGACCAGCCTGGCCAATATGGTGAAACCCCATCTCTACTAAAAATACAAAAATTAGCTGGGCGTGGTGGTGCACCTGTAATCCTAGCTACCCAGGAGACTGAGGCAAGAGAATCATTTGAACCCAGGAGACGGAAGTTGCAGTGAGCTGAGTTCGTGCCATTACACTCCAGCCTGGGCAACAAGAGCAAAACTCCGTCTCAAAAATAAAATAAAATAAAATAACAGCCCTTCCTACCCTCCATCACAACCTACAGCACTTACTACCACTCCTCCTTACTCTGTTCCATCTTTTCATTCTTTCTATGAAACACTTCTTTACATAGACTGCAATTTCCATATGCATGATATGTGCTGCTTATCATCTATCCCCCAACACTAGACTATAAACTCCAAAAAAGCAGGTGTCTGTTCATTTAGGACAAGGTTTTCCAAAGTCAGCACTATTGACATTTTAGGCTACATAATTGTGGGAGTCTGTCCTGTACATGGTAGGATGTTTAGCAGCATCTCTAGCCTCTACTAACTAGGTGCCAGTAGCACTCCCACCCCCTTTGTAACAACCAAAAATGTCTTCAGACATTGGCAAATGTTCCCAGAAGAGCAACATCATCCTTGGTTGAGAACAACTGATCTAGACTATTGTCTGAAAGATAACAAGAGCCTAATAAGCACTGGATTAATAAATAAACGGTAAATGAATTAATGATCTCTAAGTTAAGCTGGCATGTGGCAGAATGACCTGGAAGAAAGAAACACACAAAGGGATCCAAGTTCTAGTCTGAGCCCTGCTTCTCATTAGCTATGTGACTCCAACCCCGGGGTTGTAGTTTTCCTGCCTGTGACATCGATCCATCCATTCATTCATCTATTCTGTGACATCCATCCACTCATTCATTCACCTATTCTACAAATACTTCTTGAGCAACTATTACATGCCAGACTCTGCCCTAGATGCTAAGGATATGCAATGAACAAGGCAACAAAGCCTGTGATCCCATGAAGCATATATGCTACTGGGATGAGACAGGCAATAACAAAAACTAAAATCAATAGCCAGATAATGTCAGGTGGAATACATTCTATGTATAACAAAACCATATAATATGTCAAATATTAAGCAGGGAATGTGACTATTTTAGAAAAAGGGTCAGAGACAGCTTCAGTGAAGGGGTATTGTTTAAGCTGCAAACAGCTTTAAAAGCAGCTTTTCATTAAGAAATTAAAAAGGCAGCTGTGCAAGGATATAGAGAAAATGATGTTCCTAGAAGGGGGGACAGCAAGTGCAAAGACCCTGAGGCAGGAATAGATTTTTATTTCCAAGAGCAATGGGAAGTTGCTGGAGGGTTTTAGGCAGGAGAAAGATATGTACTAACTTAGCTTTCAAAAGGTCATGGAGGTACTGCATGGAAAATAGATTGTAGGGGAGCAAAAGTGAGTGGAAACAGACCAGCTAGATGGCAGTGGCACACAAGAGTAGTGAGTGAACACGAGTATGACTTGGGCTAGGGATGGCAGGGGGTTGGGAGAAGTAAATATCGCAGAGCCCTTAGGAGAAGAACCAAGATAAATAATGTAAATACATGTTGAAAAGCTAAAATACAGCCTCCAAGTATATCCTCTAAAAAATTTGCATAATTCTGGGTGCAATGAAGGGAAGTAATCATACAGTCATAGAATAAAGCACAAAGGCTTGGAAGTATCTGGGATGTTCAGCTCTCCTATTTTACCAAAAGGAAAATTCAAGTTGAGGAAGATGAAGTGATTTACCCAGGAGCAGTCTAGATGGTGACATTTAAGAGATCTAGAGCTCAGGATTTTAAGGAGCTTGACATCAACATCTGTCACATTTTAAAGTTTCTAGATAAAAAATTAATAGATGCATAATTTTCCTTCACAACCAAATAATGGAGAAATAAAAGTCTAAAATGGAGGAAAACTAGAATGTCACAGTATCTTCTTAGTGTGCCTTTGGCTGATTTTCCTAATTTATATTGCACTTACAACACCTGACACGAAATCCTTGGAGCCTTAACATTGAATATAGAAGAGCTCGTGGAAAAAATGTGCTATCAAATTCAAAAGCATCCAAAATACACGTTCAGAGCCAGCTACAGGAGCGTTTGGGTCAGCCTATTAAGCACATGTTTAATTTTTTTATGCTGAATCAATGCATACATAATTCATGGTCACATTTATGATCTGAACCAAAACACGCTAAGAGAGCCTCTGAAAAAATCTGGTGTGCCATAGACACAGTCTTCACATAGATTTGGCAAACCATCCTAGTTTAAGGTAGGAATTAAAAGGTAGGTCTGCATCAATACAACTAAAGATTCAAAGATAAATCTCTCACCCAGTGTGTCTTTGGTTAATGTGCTTCTAGAATCAGAGCAACCTCAGAGGAAAAGAGCCCCTGTGCTCTTCCTTCCCATCACTTAGAATGCTCTCTGGCCCCAGACCTCATCTGGGAGTCCTTCCAGAAACTCTGGCCTTACATAGTGCCATCTGCTCATTCCCTATCTACCTTTCCCTTTGGTTTCCTGCTGTCCTCAACCAAGGAAGGTCCCTAAATGCTGTTTCTACAGCCCATTCTGTTTAGAGAATTAGACCTTTTAGTCTGAGACAGTTTTCTATTTGCAGCTCCATGTGTTGTTAAGAGATAAAGAGAAATGGTAAGTTGCATCTGAAATTAAGTTATTAGCAAAATTTGAATCACAAACTTGCTCAGGATAATTTTTCTCTTTCTGTTTTCAATACTGGTGAAGACCTCAGAATGCATAGGGCATGATCACTAATCAAGAGGAGAGGGCAACCACACATTGATTGCTACAGTCTGGTTTTAAATGCAAAGCCTACTTAGAGTTGCACTCGATGACCCCTTGAAGACCCTTCAGAAGTTGAGGATAACTAATTGCTTCATGAACGTTTAAGAAAATATAATTTGGTTTCCTCAGATAATTCTCCAGATGTGGATCTATAATATATTCCCTAGAGATTTACCAAATGAATAATCCTACCTATTATCAAGAAAACAAAAAAATAAAAATATGCTGAGACTTGTAAGAACACCTGTAAAAGAAAATTGCAGATTCTTGGCCACTAATGTCTTTTAAACAGAAACAAATAATAATACTAAGACTAACACCTCCCAAATTGAAGGGTATCTTTCATCAAAGCTGGTGTTCATGAATTCCAAATTTTACATACTATTAATGACATGTAATTATTTATAAATATTTTATTTGGATATAATTACATATAATCATTAAAAACCAAAACAGAAATGATAGCTCAGACCTCTTTTATGGAAGAATAGCAGAGGCATTTACATACATGCAGTCATTAAGCAGAAGAAAGTCTGAGTGACAATCTGAAATCCAAACACGCTGTCGACCCGAGCTGCAGTGAGTGTGCTTAGGAAAATGAGATAGGTCGCCCAATGCTGCCATCTTCAGATCACTACTGGTAGTACACCATTCTCGCAGCAGTTCGGGCCTAGCCAAATGGGCAGTGGCAAAAGCTTGAAGGGACCAAGTCCACAGACACAGAATCACACCAATAAAATATGTAATGGTGCCACCTGGTGATTTATAAAAGCACTCTATGCAAAACCCTTCTTATGTTTGGCATTAGGCACCTGAAGTTCTTGCTAAGGTCACAATTAAAGAGATGTATGACTTTGTCAAAGAACACTTGATGGGAAAGAAATTTACTATTCCCATTTCCCTACTGAAGGGCCCTTTTGCCTCCCTCCTCTCACTCCCTCTGCATCCCTCCTTGAAATAATTACATAGCCTCTTCCTGAGGGTCCTTGAATGTTCATAAATTAGATTAAAATGATACATATAAACTTCTAGGAGGAAGCCCGAGTTGCCTACTTCTTTCACTTCCTCCAGGATATTGGCTTACACACATCATTTAAGAAATAAATTCCTGAGTAAGCAAGTGAGGAAGTGACTGAGTGATATATTTTCCCTATCGCCTTCCCTAAAAATTTGATCTTGCATATTGGTAGCATATATTTTAAAATAATCACATACATCATTCCACATCTAGAATTCCATTAACTATATATCTAGCACATAGGCAGGAAGCAAGAAGTTATCAAAGAGAACTTAAAAGGGCCCTTTTAAGATGGATTTGAGATTGGTTTGAGATGTGCCAAACATAACAAAAAGTTATAGGCTAAATTGGGTGTACTTCACTTATAAGATACTCCCTCAGGTCCTCAGACCCTAGTTATCTTTATCTTGTACACAGTTCTAACAAAGCTTAGTTACGTAGCTTCCAAACCCACACCCTCACTTAGAAGGGGAACAAGAAAAATATGTCCAAAAAGCAGCCCAACCCAAAAAGTTCATCAATACAATATTTGGTGTTTGAGTAAATAAACGCTCCATATTGACGTTATCACTAAAGAACTGTATAATTCATCAATTATATAGAAATATGAAAATAATAGGAAAACTCAACCAGAAGAAGGCTTCCTCATTTAATAAAGTGTTCTCACATATGTTATCTTACTGCCCATTGTGAAGTAGATAGAGCACTTATTATTTCCATTTTATAGATGGGAATACTGAGACTCAAAGTTCAAGTGGTTTGCCCGGTTCCAAAACTAGTGGTTGCCAGAGCTAGGAATCATGCACAAGTTTCCCATCTACAAATCCAGCATTCTTTTCTTATCAGTAACTGCACTTATGGATACAAGGCCACTATCAGTCAGTCACACTGGCACAGCCATTCCTGTTGTTGAAATACTGAAATATTTCCAGGATGAGTGTAAGTAGCTATCACCTTATGCTCCCCATGACCCCAGCCACTGACACTGCCCCATCTCTTTCTAGGTTTCATCCCCCGCACCCTCCCCACCACTGCCACTTCTTCATGATCTAGCAAATAAAGGCTCAATGTCTATAAAGCTGGGAATTCCAGGGTCCTTTCAGATGCAAGTCTAGCAAGCATCTGTGCTGTTAGGGGCCCAAGTCATAACAAAAAGATAAATCTCAGAAAAGAAGACTGTCACTCAAAGATGTTCTAACATCAGCGGCTGTAGCTTTGGTTAAGTGCAGATAAAAACACATAAAGCCGGGCGCGGTGGCTCACGTCTGTAATCCCAGCACTTTGGGAGACCGACGCGGGTGGATCACGAGGTCAGGAGATCGAGACCATCCTGGCTAACACGGTGAAACCCCGTCTCTACTAAAAATACAAAAAATTAGCTGGGCGTGGTGGTGGGCACCTGTAGTCCCAGCTACTGAGGAGGCTGAGACAGGAGAATGGCGTGAACCCGGAAGGCAGAGCTTGCAGTGAACCAAGATCGCACCACTGCACTCCAGCCTGGGTGACAGAGTGAGACTCCATCTCAAAAAAAAAAAAAAAAAAAAAACAACCAAAAAAAAAACCACATAAAAGGGCTCTGTGGCTCACAGCCTTCCTTTCACAGTGTTTTTACTAACATTTTTCCATCTAGTTTTTGAGAAGACAACTAGTATGTCAATGTATACACTTACAAAGTTGTTGAAAGGTAAAGGCCCCTCAAGGTCTGCTCCCACTTACCCCTTTACCACCTACCCTAGCTACTAGAGTTGGAATTTTGCTATATCAAAATGTCAGTTTACAAGCAGCAAGTGTTTTCCCACCTTTAGCCAAGATTCCTTAATCTTGATTAAATTGCAAATGACAATAGTACTGAAATAAGAATGAGGCTTCATAGCTAAACAAAAAGCTTTGGAATAGAGGTTTTAAGGCAATAAAAATCAACGTTGGGAACCAAAAGTGAAAACAGAGGCTGCATTGCTTAAACTATGGAGGTCCCACTGCCTCTGAAATATCTATCCCAACATCGTTCATCCAAACCTCCCACCAGACATCAATTTTTGTTGTTTCTTCAATCATTTAAACTCCAAATACTCCTAAGAATCACACATAAAGCCAAATCACACTAAGGCATCAACAACTACCCCAATGCTTTGTTTTGCAGGGCAAGCATTCTTGAGTTAAAAATTTTTCTGGGCCGGGCACGGTGGTTCACGCCTGTAATCCCAGCACTTCGGGAGGCCAAGGCGGGTAGATCACCTGAGGTCAGGAGTTTGAGACCAGCCTGGCCAACATGGCGAAACCCCATCTCTACTAAAAATACAAAAATTAGCTGGGCATGGGGACGGGCGCCTGTAATCCCAGCTACTCTGGAGGCTGAGGCAGGAGAATCACTTGAAACAGGGAGGCGGAGGTTGCAGTGAGCCGAGATCACTCCACTGCACTCCAGCCTGGGTGAGGGAGTGGGACTCCTTCTCAAAAAAAAAAAAAGAAAAAAAGAAAAAAAAAATTCTGGGACTAGGCTTCAAGAGATAGCAGAAAATAGGTTTTTGCATGCTTTATTATTTTGCCCTGGGCTAGTCCTATGTAAAATGTAAATTAAGAGGGTAAAAATGCTAGAAACTTCGAGATGGAAGATGTTAGGGCTGGTCCAGAGTTCTAGTCCTCACTAACATGGTTCTGTGCAATCCTGGGGCTGCAGCTGCTCTGTAATCACAAGCCACTCATGTCACATCTTGAAGCCTCCCTTTGGCAATAGGAAGCCACTAATCAAGCATTCACAGATTTGGGAGGCAGTCATCATATAAATTCCAAGTACCACTGGTCCAAATGCCTTTCACGACTGCAGCTACACCTAGATTTCTATTCTCATATTTTACCATATACTCTCTTCGAGCCTCTCAACGAAACCCACCATTCACTGGGTTTCATAGCAAAGCTGTTGGAAAGGTGAAGACCCCTCAGAGTCCCCTCCCACTCTCACCCCTTTACCACCTACCCCAGCTAGAGTGTAAAAAATGCTAGAAACTTAGAGCTGGAAGACATTAGGGCTGGTCCATAGCGATCAGTAGGTCACAACTTCATCAAATCACATTTTTTAAATTAAATGTACTAAATTCCACTGTGCTAAGCTCTAGTTGAGATGACAAAGGTAGCTAAAGAGATGGTCTCTCTGCTCAAGAAAGGCATGATAGGGATACAGAGAGACTAATGATAATAATAAATCTCTCCTGTTTTTACTCCTACCACAAACATCTCATTCAATCTTGAATTCATCTTTGCTTATCTGTCTCAGGATGTGAATAATATGAAGCTTGTGTCAAATTTTGAAGGAGAAATGGGATCTTAGAAGGACTGCAAGAAGAGAAGTTATTGGAAAAAGTAAATGGTCTAGGACACTGGCCTGAGGTATTGGGAGGGATGGGGGTGATTTCAGGGAACCCAAAAGGCACATCATAGGAAGGTGGAGGTCAGTCAAATTACAGAATGTACCAGATCACAGGCTACACTGAGACCGGCAGAGATGGCCTCTTTTACCAGTGATTCTCCTCAAAGCAAGAGAGGGAAAAACATGTGGAGAAAAGAGAAGAGTTGGGATTTGAGAAACATCTTGTCAGCTAGAAAAAGATGACACTGAATTGTGAAAACAGCATACATTGTCTTAGGTTAAGAACAGCCATCGAATGAATTAAAATGTAAAAACCTAAACTCTGAGGAAACATTATGGCAAACCTTGTGGAAAATTGATCATCAAATATAAGAGGGACATCCGTGGAAGAAAAAAAAAGTGTCAGCAGAAAACAACTTTTATTGAAGAATATGTCGACATAGGCGATTTTCAGCAGCACTGTTTTAGTCTGAATTTTTCTGTGTGTTTCTTAACTATTGTTTCCTATATCTTTTGGGTTGCTTTCAAGAATAAATGGGTGATTGTGTTTAAGTGTACTCTGGCCATTTCAGTTTTATTGCCCCTTCCTCAGCTTATCTGGGAGCATTTTCAACTGCAAAGAAGGCCACCTGACTTCTTATTTAACACTACTTCCTATACCAGCCTTTAATGGTATTTTCCAAAATAAAAAAAAAGAAGAAAAAAGAAATATACCCCAATCTCTTCCTTTCACTTAAGGACTAACAGGAATGTCATGCATTCATCTGACATTGGTGCCACCCAAGGAGTTGGCCCACACTTAAAACTCTGGCAAGATCCATCTAAGATACTCCCATCTCCAAGACTCAATGGTAGGTCATGACAACCATCTGGTAGCCCAATGACAAACCTTCATGGTCTCATTGCTCTAGAGTAAAAGTCCAAACTTCTTTATGTGGCAGAAAAGGCCCTCCATGGTCTAGCCATCGCTTTCTCTCAACCTTCATTGCTCCACCGTCTTCCTCCCAATTGTCCACCCCATGGGGAACTAGTGGCAATTGCACAGACTGATCCTGCTCTTTGCAGATTCCACCTGGGCCTTTGCACACTGTGTTCTCTCTGCTTGGAATGCTCTTGTCATTGCCGAGCCCCTTCGTCTGATTCGTGTCCATCTGGCAGGTTAGGTGGCCCTCCTCCCTTCCCCAGTGTAGCCCATACGAATCCACACAGAAACTGCCAGTCTTCCTGCCTGTCCTCTCCACCAGACCCTGAGCTTCCTGGAATCAGGAAGAGGGTCTGACTTTTGTTGTTGTTGTTGTTATTGTTGTTGTTGTTGTTGTTGTTGAATTCCTGCTCTCTATCATCCTGCCTGACATGCGGAAGGTACTCAGCAAATAGTTAAGGTAGAAAGAAAGGAAGAGAAGGAGGGAGGAAATAGATAAGCAAGAAGAGTTGCCCTGCAGGCCATACCAACAGAGTCAATGTCAGCCTTCTGAGTGAGTCATTACTAACCTCAGCCAATTTTCCAGTATTACAGACTTTGTAAAAGTCTACAGTAGCCATCAAAGTGGTTTTCACTTATAGGTTTAGAAATAGGTCTGCTCTTTGACCTCTCTCTCTACTCCCTTTAAGCAATAGCCAGTGGTCCCCAAGTCAGTGAGGAAGGGTGGAACCAGCCTCCTTGCCACAGTCAGGCCCTAAGACACCACAGGCCTTTTGGAGCATGGATGAAGGTTGGTTGGCAGGTAGCTCCTATAGAAGTTAGGCAGCAGTTTTGTAGTTAAGTGGTCTCTGGTCTCCTTCATTACAAGTAGCAACTCTGAAGACCCATTGATTCTGACATCTGGATTCTCATCCAAAAATGTCAGGGGGAAAGTTTTTCAGTTTGCTGCTTTTGAAGGTTGTAGCCAACTGGAGACTTGCCAGGGAAAATGCTAGAGAATGGACGAGTTTGTAACAGATCCAAGCTCCAAAGTGCCTCACAGCCCAACCTGCTCAGAATTAGCAGCTACAGGGAATTTCTATCAGCATCACTGCCCAGACCTTCATTTAGCAGATGATGAAACACAAGATCAGAGAGATGCTATTTTTTCTTGGAGATGAATCTGTGAGATGTCCATCCATCCAATTCTATTTTTTACAAAATTCCATGGCTCTTTAAAAATTGGTTTTATTAATACAAACAGGCATATTTTATTCCTTCTGGACCTGCAGGTATTTTGCCTTTCACAAATCAAAAACTAGTTTTATATTCAGCAGTCTCACTCATTGGACCTTAGAAATAGTGCATGAGCCTCAGTGCAACATCTCCATAACAAAGCAATTGACAGAGTTTGGCTCTTCTTTTAAAGCAGTTCTATCTTTTTCCAAATGACCCTTTGCTGAACTTACATAACTAGCTACCTTGAAATAGCTAAACTTCACTGTGAGGACATGGACACACACACACAGGTACACATCATTTTCATATCAGGTGCATGGATCAGCATTCCATTTATATATGTGCTTAATCTACTTTGCACAGAAGACCTGCTTATGCAAATGCTATAGCTTTGGCAGTGCCCAGGAACTGATTTTTATAATCTAAGCAATTCTGAGCTCCTTGAAACAGAAGAAAACTGATGAGCGCACTCTCAGCCATTCATCCTTTGGCATGCCCTAAAATGTTCTGCATCAAATCACACATTCTCCCCAGATGTGGTGATTTTAAAGGTCAGCTCTCGAATGCTAGTATGAAAAATGAGGTTTTTACTGACTCCCACATGAGCTGTGGGTAGTCACCACTGCCTTTTAGAGGGTCATTTTATTTTTATTCCTGCATTACTAAAAGCAACACCCTCCTAGACATTAGGTCTAAGGAGCTTGCACTTTCTCGCCTATTTCTTTCCAGGCAAGACAGAGAATCCTGGAAGATGATTTCGTGTCTGAAAACTGACGAGAAAGGTATGTTTGGCAGGGAGAGTCATTCTTGCCACTCCATTGCACTGAGCAGTCTTCTATTTTAAGTTTTTATTAATGAAGTCATGTTTCTTTTCTAGTCACTAACCATCACCACTAGCATCATCATCTCTCATACTCAGAGATGACACCAAGCATCTATATGTGTAAATGGGGCTGAAAAGATATACCTTTGAGCTGGGGTCCCCGTCACATTGAGGGTCTTTTAGTAATTGAACTTCTAGAAGGCATTTAAGCTCAGTTGAGCTCACCTATCTCTCATAATAATCACTGCCAGTTACTGAAGCCTGCACTCCACCAGACACACTGTTAAGCACTTTACATCATGTTCACAACAACCCTGAGAGGCAGACATTACGAAAGTGATGTAATGTGGTAGTTTGAGCATTGACTTTGGAGTGAGAGACCAAGGTTCAAGGGCATGCTCTGCCATTTACTTGACCTTGGAGACGTTATCTAACCATTCTGAGTTTTAGGTTCCCTGTGTGTAAAATGGAGAAAATAAAATAACTACTACTTATTGAAGTTTTATTATTTGCCAGTGCTAAATCCCCCATTTCAAACATGGGGAAACTGACATGGAGCTTGAGTAACTTCTGCAAATTTAAGGGCAATAGAAGTAGATTGGAATCAAGTGTGCCTAACCCCCAAAGACTGTGCTGTTTTTACCATACCACACTATCTTCCTTCTGTCCCCAGAGTGACTGAACATTACAGGCCCCCAGAATTGATGTTTACATCGTGTTCTTGATAGTTGAGCTTGGTGTGTGCCAGAAAAGACAGGGGTCTGTCTAGCTTTCCTGCAGCCATTCTGCCATGTCCTGCCCTGGGGCAGGTGCCTTCATTTCCTTTGTGACTCCTGGATATCCTAAGAAACATAACACAGGACTGTTGAAAGCCAATGAAGAACACACACTACAAACAAGTCACAAAAGGAAGACTAGTTTTCTTAGTCTCACCATTTGGAAATGGCACTCCAACTAGCACTGCTCAAGAGAGCTGAGATTACAATCAATGAGGCTAGTTTAGAAATATAGTAAGTTGTGTCTCTATTAAAAAGCCATATTACAAAGCACAAAACAAAATACTATGTAATATTACAGCATTCTACTTATGTTTGCATTATTTGATGGACACAAAATTAATTTGGTAAAGGATAGTGAAAATTCATGAGACAATAAAGGATGATGACTTGAAATATTTCTAGTGTCTCATGGTAAGTTATTTTGCCAACTTACTCTCTGGCTTTGGCTACCAAGAGAGCTGGTAGCCAGAATGACAATCCCAAGCTTAGAATGACAATCCCTCTCTTCTCTTTCCCTTCCCCTAATCAATCAGTAGAGGCAGGACAGGCAGGTGATTGAAGATGAAGTTCCACTTCCCAGGGGAGGATCATGAACCCCATCTAAGGGAACAACAGCAACTCAGCTCTGATCAATTGGCCACTGGTATAAAGCAATCTGACTGCCAGAGAAGCTGGTTTTGTTTTTGTTTCTGTTTTTGTTTTTGAGAGAAGCTAAGAATCTGGATGTCATGTGATATCCTCTGATGTGTAAATATAGGTAATTTTTTACACTATAAGCAAGATGCAGGCATACACACACACACACATGCACACTGCTCAGATATTAGCCAGACCAGAAGATGCTGCTTTGTAATCCCTTTTTTAGAGGATTGCATGATTTAAAGACCCTGAAATCCACTTTGTAGCAACAAATTGGCTCTCCAGGACAATGAACAAGGGCTTCTGCTGTCTCACTTGGTCACAACTTACCCTAACACCCTAAACTCCTGAGAAGTAGTTTGCTAGACTGGACCCAGGACTCAGAAAACTAATGGCTCAGTCCCTGCCATTATTCTGCATTATGGTCTTACACACAACATTTAATTTGTCTGAGCCTCCCTTTATTCACCTATAAAATGGGGATTCCTTTCCTCACCAAAATTGTATTAAGCACCGAATGTGTGTGCAGCATCATGTGAATGAATACCAGGACTGTGTTAAGGGACAATATGAGTCCTGCCTCCCTTGAAGTGCCATTGTGAGACTCACATGAATGAACATATGTCAGATGCTAAATAAACGTAAGAGCTATAACTCAGGTTAAGATTCCCTGCCCTGGGACAATAAGGAACAGCATTATCTGTGTGGCTAACTCATCCCATCTCAGGATTCTGATTCTGCAAAGAAATTACATTCTGATTAGGCAAGCATGGGCTTAATTACAGGTCAACGGTTTCTGAATCTCAATCTAAGGAGTTTTCCAAGGTAGAGATAGCCCATTAGATGCAAAAGTTTCCTGAAGTATTAACATCTATTCTACCAGTAAGCATATGTAACAGCAAATTAAAATTTACCAATTTGACTGCTGAGAGAAGCCTCCCCTCAGGAAGCCACCTTTGATCAGCCATCTTGCTCCTTGAACCTGATGTGAGTGCCCGCCTTCTTCTATCTTTGCCTTCACAAGCTATAAAGTCCCTGTTCACTTATCTATATCCCTCGGTAGACTGCAAGCTCCCCAAAAGTAGGACTAGTGTTTAACAATTGAATTAACTAAGTCCTGACACATAGTAGTTGCTCAGTAAATATTACTTAATGAATAAATGAATGGGCCATAACTGACTCTATCAGCGCTGTGGAAAAGATATTTAGTAGGAATACAATAAGAGTGTGCCTTTGCTAGAACATCTTTCCAAAGAAGCAAAATCCAATGCCCTTACCTTGCCTATTATACCGTTGGCTTTTTTCTTGGAAGAACTAAGACTCTTTAATTAGATTTGAAAGAGGAAAAAGTGAACAGCCAAAAAAAAAAAGTTTTTGTGAGAGCTAAACAATTAAATGTTTCTAAAGCATGTCATTTTAAGGTACATCCCCTTGTTTTATTACAGAGAACTTTTAAACTTTGCTAGTTAGACACTAACATAGGACCCCTGTGTACCAACATGAAGAGATATCCAAAACACATCAAAACTAGAGCAAACAACATCTTTCAGAACTCTTCCAATGGCTTCTTTGCATACTTGTATGTTAATGAAGCCATCTTACATCCAAACTGCGAACACCTGGCTGGAGTTCTAAGAAGCATGAACTCATAAGGAGGAGCAGCCAAGATTTGAAACCCCAAATTTATTGCTTTATTTAGTTATTCAGGGAAGGCTGCATGTATTTATGAACAGCATCACTCCTAATCTGCTTAACAAGTTTAGTCAGGAATTCATCTTTCACAGGCCCTCACTGGCACAAACAATATTTTTTCATTTGTTTTCCCCAAGCTGTTTCCTGTGACTTGCCTTTCTCTATGCTCGGGGGAGGTGTGCTATTCACTCAGGGGAAGCCTCCTCCATCTCCAAGGAGAAGCTCGACATCTCTTAGGGGAGGCCTTACCTCTATTATTTATGGTTAAAACACTTTACATTGCAAAGTAGCATGCTATCTCCATCTAAAACCATTTTGTAATATAAACTGCATAGTCTGCACTTCAGAAGGGGAAACGTGAGTTGTTGAAAGTTAGAGGATTACCCAAGGTCACAGAAGAAAGTAAGAAACTCTCCAGGGGCCTTTCCTGGACATGAGTGCTTTCTGATATGGCCACCCAGAAGTCTGAGAGTATAGTCATGTGAAACATGCTAGCTGGCATTTTTTGAACGCTTAGCACTGTGCTAAGCAGCTTCACAATGCATTATTTCATCAATTCTCACAACAGCTCTACAAGATTGTATAGTATCATTAGCCTCATTTTAAAGATGACAAAACTGGGGCACAGAGAGGTTAAGTAACTTGTGCAAAGTTACTGACAAAGATCTTAATCTTAACCAAATTCTAATCAGGTTCCTCTGAACCATTTTTCCAGCGACACCTTGACTTTGGTGTTTCTGTGCTCATGTCTACATTGTCCAATGTTAGCAAGAATCCTGCTAAATTGTTTAATTTAGCCAGAATTCCTCACCCTTGACATCTGATCACCCTCAATATCTGACTGGAATCACCCTTGATATTTGATCACCCTCAGTATCTGATCAGATTCCTCATCCCCTACCTTTCCCCAGATGATGTCTGAATCATCCTGGCCTGCCTTCCACAAGAGTCCTGTTAGGACAGTTCAGCCAGAATCCTCCCTTGCCCCTGAGGTTTCCTCTTAGTAACTCTCCATGCACTGACCACCACCTCCCCAACCCTGTTCCTTGGCTATAAATTCTTACTTTTCTTTGTTGTATCAGGAGTTGAACCCAATCTCTCTCCCCTACTGCAAAACCCCATTGCAGTGGTTTCTGCACCTATTATGATAGTCCTGCATAAAGTCTTCCTTACCATTCTTTAACAAGTGTTATGAATAATCTTCTCTTTAACCTCATCCAGCCAGTAAGTGACAGAGCCTGGGTATAAACCCAGGTAAGTTAACCCCAAAACCTGCACTCTGAATTACCCACTATACTATACTGCCTTACTAGCAGGTCCCTGTGCTGCACAGCTCAGGAAAACCGCATAGTGTCATATATAGTAGAGTTCACCCTGTTTTATGGATTCCAGTTTCCCTTTTACACCCTAACAGTATGAGTATCTGCGACCAAGTGCAGAGGGGGAGCTTTAGAATACTTTTGCTACTGACAGATGTATGTTTATGATCTAAACTCAAAATGAGAACAATGAAAGGGGCGAGTATTGATTAGACTGGATGAAAATAGCTCTCACTAATGGGGACAGAACTAAAGGAAAATTTGAAGATTGAGGAAATATGTGTGGAAAACAATTCTTTAATTAAAAAGTGGTATGTGCTCAATTTTTTCTCAAAACAAAGAAGGAAAAGCAAACAAAACTTATCAGCCACAGCTAATGTTCTCTAAAACACTTCGGAACTTAGTTGATTGAAAGTTACAAACCCCCTATTTCTAGAATATACCCAATTTATTCTTTCCTCTGTAGATATAAAAGATAAAGACTTTCCTGACAGCACAAGTGTTTGATAAATGGATGCAAACC